>NC_000001.11:204699738-204851253 GCF_000001405.40 Homo sapiens | reverse complement strand
CATCAAATGTTAAGGTTTAAAAATAGTCAAAAGCTGCTCTCACATGCTGAAGTTGGAAATTCATACACTTGGTGCTTTGTCAGTTTTAAATTTTGCTTCTAAAAAAGAGAAGCTTTCAGACTGATTTACATGCACTTCTTTGTTGTAGATAGTGTTTATTCCCAGTAAATGAAAATCCACTTCAGATATAATTATCACTTTTTTTTAGTACTGAAACATCTTGATGTGTCATGTAAAAATTCTGGTGAAATGAATACAATCTGGTAGCCATCATCTTCAGACAAATTTGTAGAATTATTATTATTATTGTGCTCCTCATTAACTCTATGAAGTTGCATATGTTTCCTGGTTCATTATGGATAAAATAAACAATAGACTAAGAAGAAAAGCAAAGCAAAACTATGAGGGCAAAACCACTGTATGAATCCATTCTCACACTGCTATAAAGAACTATCTGAGACTAGGTGATTTATGAAGAAAGAGGTTTAGTTGACTCACAGTTCCACAGGCTGTACAGAAGCATGGCTGGGAGGCCTCAGGAAACTTACAGTCATGGCGGAAGGTGAACAGGAAGCAAGCGCGTCTTACCATGGCGGAGCAGGAGACAGAGCGCACAAAGGAGAAGTGCCATACACTTTTAAACCATCAGATCTCGTGAGAACTCACTCACTATCACAAGAATAGCAAGGGGGACGTCTGTGCCCATGATTCAATCACCTCCCACCAGGCCCCTCCTCTGACATGTGGGGATCACAATTTGAGATGAGATTTAGATGGGGACACAGAGCCAAGCTGTATCAACCACCACTGCAGTTGGCAGTGTTCAGCAGATAACAAGACACCTGAGAGGTGGAAGCATGAGAGGCATCTTGTCTCCTCTAGCTCCTCACACCTTATACACAAGGAGAGTCCAGTCTGTTCCATATTAAGGAAGAAAACATGGGACAAGGTACTAAATAAATGATTAAAAATTGAAACCAAGACAGCTGCCATTACAAGCTATTTGAAAGCCCCCAGAGTTGTAAAATCTCAGGCTGGGAAAGGAGTTCTGTTCACCATCACTTCACTCATTGCCTCACAGAATTTTCTAATGAAGAAACTGAGGCCTAGAGAGGTCACCTGGGGCCACCCATTAAGTCAGAGCAGAGCAAGGATTAGTATCCAGTCTCCTTACTCCAAGTCCTCTCTTCTCACTGTGTGCCCCTCGGGAGAAGGTTCCAGAGCCCACTGCAGGAAACGGCAGCACCATGGGATTGAACAGAAAGAGATGTTCCTACGTCCTGTTTGTCTAAGTACCGTCACAGTGCCAGACACAGCTTTTTTCCCACAGAAGGTAATTAATCAGTAAATGCTTCTTGGATACATACATGGATGAATGACCCAACATCATAAAAGAGAGACCACAGCAGGGTTAGGATTGGGACTCCTGGCCCTCAGAGGCCTGCTGTGCCTGCTCTTGCTTGCTTTCCAGAGTTGAAACTATTTCACTCTTGGGAAGGCAGTCCCTTACCACCCAACTGCGGGCACTTCCAGGGGGATGGATGACCAGAACATCATGTGGTTAAAGCACTGGGCTGCAGACCTGGGTTTGGTTCTAGCTCTGAAACCAAACAGTATTAAGCTTCCTACTGAGTTCTTTCCCTCAGGCCCCCACTTGCAAAATGAGGGAATTGGACTAATGGCTCTCCAAGTGTGGTCCCTGGACCAGCAGCATCAGCAGAACCTGTGAACCTGTCAGAAACACACATTCTTGGCCCCCACCCCATACCTATTGCCTCAGAAACTGTGTGGGCAGGGCCCAGCAATCCATGTTCTAACAAGCCCCCCCAGTGCCTCAGATGCAGGCTAAAGCATGAGAACCACAGAAGAGACTGTTTTTAACGTCTCTTGAAGCTCTGACAGTTTCTATCCCAGCCTGGATAAGGAGATGATGGTGACCTTGATGGTGATGGTATTCGCTAACACAAGGTTCTCAAAATGTGCCAAGCACTCTTGTGAGCACTTCACATAAAATAACTCAAGGCCCCAGCAGAAGCTAGTTTCGGTAGAGAGGCTCAAACACACATGGTTGAGGCTGCTAAGTCCACGAATGGGGTCACATCTTCCCATTCAGGGCTCCCACCCTCTGGCTTTGATCACAAGCCCCAAAGGGAGGCCTAAGAAGCAGACTGAAGGTAGACACCAATCTATTAACAGAGGTGTGTGAGCACACAGAATTCACTTAGGCCAACTGGTGTCCCCAGGGACAGGCCTGCCTCCAAGCCCTAGGAATCTCATTCCACATGTCAAACTTGACTTTTGTATTTTGAACAAAGCAGGCTGTTCAATAAATAATGGCCTCTGTGGTATTATCGCAGATTATTTAACTTATTAACAGCTGGGGTAGGGATGATAATGAACGCTTTGCTTCTAAGCTGCAGGTGAAGATCAGAAGCTGGGTTGTAACCGGGAAACATCCTGAGAAGAGGGCAACGAGCTCTCCATGACCCCTGTCCTTATTTGCTCTGTTCCCAACAGCCAGATTCTAGCAACAACTCTCAAATTAGAAGACCAACAGAAAAAGTACACATAAAATATTAACGGTTGCTATTCCCAAGCAACTGGGGTTTTTTGATTGTCACTTTTCAAAGTTTATGATTTTTACCTTTATAATCAGACAAATAACATTTAAAAAGTAGAAAGTATAAATCTGTGTACTTTACTGTATGTCTCACTTTAATAAAATTCGCACCGGGTGTGGTGGCTTATGCCTGTAATCACAACACTTTGGGAAGCCAAGGCAGGAGGTTCGCTTGAACCCAGGAGTTTGAGACCAGCCTGAGCAATATAGGGAGATCCCGTCTCTTAAAAAAAATAATTAGCTAAACATGGTGGCACATGCCTGTGGTCCTAGCTACTTAGGAGGCTGAGGTGAGAGGATCACTTAACTGGGGAAGTTGAGGCCTCAGTGAGCTGTAATTGCGCCACTGCACTCCAGCCTGGGTGACAGAGCAAGATCCTGTTTCAAAAAATACAAAATTGCCAAAAGTGATGAAAAAGGGGACTGCATCTAACTCACTGGGCCTGACCAACTGAGCACCTGCTAAGAGGCAGTGTCAGCTCCTGGACAGAGAATGGATGAGAGGGAAAGGACGAGTTCTCCAGGCTTCCCTCCTGGGGCCCTTCTAAGTCTCAGTGTTTCCTGCTGGGAAATGGGGGAATTATCACTGTTTCCAGTACAAAGGGGTAATGGGAAGACAAAAGCAGAGCCAGAGGTGAGTTCCCTACTGCCACCCCAAACTGCCCTCCACCCTCTCTTTATATCCATCTTCTTATCAACACCATTAACTGTGACTAATGTCCTTGAACTCCTCTGACCCGGAGGGATCCTGTGAGCTTTCACTTCAGAATGGGACAAACAGAGGAACTGAACAATATTCCCCTCACCACCCATGCCCACCGCTCATGGGAAAAGAAGTAAAATATAAAGTGGCCTGCCTCCAAACAGAGATGGCAGTGGATCAAACACAGGGCCAAGGAGGAGCCACTTTTAACCCACTGGGTTTGTGGAATTTTCTGGAGAAAAAAGGTAGAGGAGGGGGAATGGCAGGAGAGAGTCACGTCCTCTGCAACCCCCTGACTTCCCAAATGCATAGCCAATGAGTGAGCAGACATAAAGGAAAAGAGGCTGGTAGCCTTGGGAAAGAGCCAGGAGGAGTCTCTGTAGTCGGAGCAAGTCAGCAGCCCCAAGGTAAGAAGAGAAGTAGACCTGCCCTTCCTTCCTCACTGTCTCACATAGGCAGCCTAGGTAGGCAGGTGGAGGGGCATGGGGAAGCAAAGGTATCCTACAAATAGATCAGGGCTAGAGAACCCTGGGCTACCAGATGGGAAGGTAGCCCTGTGCTTCACTTTCTTGCCTGGAAAACAGGGCAGCTGAAAAAATGTCGTAAGTAGAATGTGGAGTGAGATAGTATCTATTTAAAGCACTTAGGACATTGTCTAGCACATAGTAAGCTTTGAATATCTGGTAGCTGCCATTATTTTAACTTAACTATTATTATTACTACTGTTGCTGCTGCTATGACAATAGCCAGGATGGGGTAGTCACAGGCCACTCACACTTAGACCCCATGACCACCCATGTGTCCTCCCACTGGTGGTTAAGGCAAATAACCAAGGTCAATTTATACACATCTGAGTTCTCTCAACCCAAAACCAGGCCCCCAGTGGAGACAGAAATCTCCTACCTTTTCAGGAGGCTTAACACCTTCTTTTCTCCCTCTTCTCCTACACACCACACACACACACACACACACACACACGCGTACACACACACAGGCAGCAGTCTTCCATTAGCACCACTGAGATTCTAGGGTAGACTGGGGCAAAAGTTGAGCAAGTGCCAGCTGCCCAGCTGTGGCTGAATATAGGACTCAGGGCAGCCTCCACAAAACAAATAATGAACAAGCAAGCTAGCCAGCAGCCACACAGCCAGTGGTGATGCAAGAAGACAATGGGCTCTTCCCAGGCTTGGCCACCAAGTCCCGTGGCTGTTGAGACCAGGGCTTGGAACCCTGCCACAGCCGGGAGGGTGCAGTGATGGTCACGTGGTTCTCTGTGCCAGGTCTGCTTGATCTGGAAGAGGTCTTACATTGGGTGGATTACCCTCCATCCCCCACCTAGGAATCCAGAGCTTACCTCAGGCTAGATATCAGCTGAGACCTGGGTCACAGAGGCCCAGGAGAGAACTAGGCTAGAAATCCACAGGCCAAAGTCAGGAGATGGCTACCATGGCATGGCCCCACCCTAATTCATGCCGCACTCCCAAATGGCCACCAAGCTCTCTGTGCATTAGTTTCCCCATCTTTATGGAGGAAATAATATATTGGCTTAGTGTATTAACCTGGTGGAACAAGGGTATAAGGACACAATTAGATCACAGGAAAATGGCTTACTATGAGAAATGGATTCCAATTCCCTACTCTGAAACATAACACCTCACTTCTACCTGTTTTGTTGACTAACCTTCTTGTGTCAGTCTCCTTACCCTCCCTGGCCCTCTTTTTTTTTTTTTGTATAGACAGGATCTCACTTCTCACTGTCTTGCTCTGGCTGGCCTCAAACTCCTGGGCTCAAGCAATCCTCCCACCTCAGCCTCCCAAAATGCTGGGATTACAGGTGTGAGCCACGGCGCCCAGCCATGGGCCCCATTTTTAAATCAGAAGTCATCCCTTCCTCCTTCCATCCTTTGTCCCTGTAGGTGTGGCCAGCATGAAGGCAATCAGGGCTTGAGGATAACTGGATTGTCCATTTCTTCCGAATTCCAGCCCCTTCCCCCGTGGAGCCATAACCTCATGAGCTTATTGGGAGCAAGAGTCAGAGGTCTCAGCCTACCACACACGCGGTGTGCAGTGGTGCAATCATAGCTCGCTGTGACCTGAAACTTCTGGGCTCAAGCGATCCTCCTGCCTCAGCCTCCCAAGTAACTAGGGCTATAGCTGTGCCACCATGCCTAGCTGATTTTTAAAAAATTTTTTTAGAAATGGCATTTCGCTATGCTGCCCAGGTTGGTCTCAAATTCCTGGCCTCAAGGGATCCTCCTGACTGGTCCTCCCAAAGTGCTGGGATTATAGGTGTGAACCACCATGCCTGGCCAGAGTTTCATCTTTCAAGGTTCCACCCCAAATCTCCTCCTTTAAGTCTTTCTAGGTACCACAGATTAAAATGTCCTCTCCCTTTCCTACACTCCAGGAGCTTCTGTGGTCTCAACCAGCCATTTGCAGTTGTCCTTTATTTTATTATTATTATTATTTTTTTGAGATGGAGTCTCACTCTGTCGCCCAGGCTGGAGTGCAGTGGCACAATTTCAGCTCACTGCAACCTCCGCCTCCCAGGTTCAAGCAATTCTCCTGCCTCAGCCTCCCAAGTAGCTGGGATTACAAGTGCTCACCATCACGCCCAGCTATTTTTTTTTTTTTTGTATTTTAGTAGAGACAGGGTTTTACCATGTTGGCCAGGCTGGTTTTGAATTCCTGACTGACAGAGCAGGAGCACCATCATCTCGGACATACACCGCCACTTTAAGTTCCAGCTCCCTTTCTAGCCTCATGCATTTCAAGGAAAACATTTCTCTTTTAACTACAAGCAGCCAGAAAGAGTGGACAGTAAAACACAGATAAGACAGCTCGGGCACAGAGGGAAGTAGGGGGAAAGTCCCTTGGGTAACTACCAAACTTCACCCTCATACAATGGGCCCCAGTAAAACAGTGGGCCTTAATAAGCACATTCCTTTCTCTTCAGGTGCACTAAGATAGGGAAGCTAAACGCAGACTTGGGGGGATATGCCTGCAGCTACAGAAAGATGTATGGGAACAGACACACAACTCTCCCTCCCAGATAAGCACAACAAAGAGACACAGAAGCAGTCCAAGCCTCTGATAAACTCTCCCACCCAGAATCCTTAAAAACTCTCAGTCTGTAGGAGAGTGTGGCTCTGACCTAACTCAGCCAGCTGCCCCTCTCAAGTTTATTTAAAATAAACCTGTCCCTGTTGACTGAGAAGCCACCATTCGTGTCTCTCTCCTCTTTCTTTAATTCTTACATTGAGCCCAAGTGATCTGCTTGCCTCAGCCTCCCAAAGCGCTGGGATTACAGGCATGAGCCACCGCGCCCAGCCTGCAGTTGTCCTTTAGTACCTGTGTAGTTATCTTTACCATGCATGGATGCCTGGCATACTTTCTCTACTGGAATATAAGGGCTTTTTAGGCAAAAACTGCCTCTTTGTCTCCACTGTAATACCCACAGTATCTAGCGTACAATTAAGCACTTATTTGAGGCTCAAAAACATTTTATGGTTGCTCACCAAAGCCATCAGGTGTACTTGAATAAGGCAGAGCATGAAGCTACCCTCAGGAAGGGAGTGGGGCAAGAATACAACAGCTAACTTTCATAGGGCATTTCTACTTTACCAGGCACTAGGCAAAGGGGTTCATGTGCATTACTTATTTTAATCCTAACAACCCATGAAGGGTAAGCCCTACTTAACTCTCCACTTTACAAATGAAAATTAGGGAAGATGTAAGTCATTTGCCGAAATCACACAACTGGTGAACAGAGAGCCAAATGGAAACCCAGGCAGTGTGGTTCTGGGCCCTGGCTCTTGCTCCATATTCTATTTCCAAGACCAGATGCATGCACTCTGGCATTGCACAATGTAGCCTTAGAGAAACAAACCTGGGGCCAGGCACAGTGGCTCATGCCTGTAATCCCAGCACTTTGGGAGGCCGAAGCAAGCGGATCACCTGAGATCAGGAGTTCAAGACCAGCCCGACCAACGTGGAGAAACCCCGTCTGTACTAAAAACCCCCGTATCTACTAATTTTGTAAAAATACAAAATTAGCTGGGCATAGTGGTGCATGCCTGTAATCCCAGCTACTCGGGAGGCTAAGGCAGGAGAATCGCTTGAACCCAGGAGGCAGGGGTTGCAGTGAGGTGAGCCGAGATCACCCCTTTGCACTTCAGCCTGGACAACAAGAGTGAAATTCCGTGAAAGAAAGAGAGAAAGAGAGAGAAAGAGAGAAAGGGAGAAAGGAAGGGAGGAAGGGAGGGAGGAAGGAAGGGAGGGAGGGAGGGAGGGAGGGAGGGAGGAAGGAAGGAAGGAAGGAAGGAAGGAAGGAAGGAAGGAAGAAGGAAAGAAGGAAGGAGAGAAGGGAGAGAGAGAGACAGACCTGGAGAGGGAAGAAAGGGGAGAAGGCAGACAAATGATTTGGAGCAAAAACAATCTGAGTGACACACAGAGAAATTAGTATAAGTAAAACTAGAAAAGTCAAAATAAGATCAGTGGATTATATCAACATCAATATCCTGGTTGCGAGAGTGTACTACGATTTTGCAAGATGTTACCATTGGGAGAAACTGCATAAAGGTACATAGGATCTCTCTGTATTATTTCTTAAGTGGATTAACCATCTCAATAACATGTTCAATTAAAAAAGGAAATAGTCCCAGCAAGCACAATATCTTTAGCCACTGCTGAGTAGTCCTTGGCCTATATTGGTCTGTCCCCAACACACCAGCATCTGGGTAGGCCCTGGATGATGTCACCAGCCTGCTGAGAAACAAAGGATTCTTGCTCTCAGAAGCCCCAGCTGCAACTTTTTATGGTGCCATATAAAAGCTCTCTCTTTATTTGTCAAGGTTTCAGGAACACAGAGGAATCATGGGATGTGTTCAGAGAGGATTTTCCTAGTCTGACTCAGAATGGAGCCAGCACCTGACCCAGCCCTGACCCACTCCCACATCAGCCTTCCAGGAGGGCCCAGCATACAGCATTCATTCCTTTAAGCCTCAGCTTCCCTCCACACCAATGGCAGACAACTCCCATCCCAGGTGTCTGAGCAAGGCAACACACTGATGGCCCCACTGCTGAGGGCAGCCAGATGGAGGAGGAAAGGAGGCAGGAATCTGCGGGCCCACCAGTCAAACCCATCAAAGCCCCAGTAGTTCCCGAAGCCCATCCATGTCCCAGGAGCCCACTAGGCTTCATGCTGATTCCTAAAATAAAAGGACAGGTTGTGCTGGAATAACCACAGGTCAGTGGGAATAAAAAGATTAAGCATTAAAACCCCAGGCCTCTGTGGTCAGATGGAGCATTTAATGGTGTTACACAGAACGGGCCAGGCTTCTGGGTGACAGGGGATTTGTTTTGGGCCCAGGCCTAACTGGAAGTTTCTATTCCAACCAGAGGAGCAACATACTGACCATGTACACTCAAAAATGGGACAAAGAGTTTTCAGACAGAGAAAGCTCTAGGGACACTCAAAGAGAAAAAAGGAGGAGAAAGCAACAATGTAAAAGCGGGGACTTAGCAGAGAACAAATTGAAGCAATACAGTGCTTAAACACTCTGTACTTTAAGTAAACTTTGAACAATTCATAAGCAAAGCTTAAGAAAGTTCTGGGTGGTGTAAAACTGGCCCTGAAGAATTTCAGGAAATACATAAGAGAAGAATCAGCCAAATTAGAAGATATCAAGAGAACAAATGTGGACCAGATATGCTTAGTCAGACCTCAGGGAGAAGCATTAGAAATGTATATTGGAAGCCCATTGCATATCTGCAGTTCCTAGGTAGTCAGGCTTGAGTTTCCAGTCTGGTAAGCTATATATTGTTCTCTTTTCAGTGTGGGTTCAGTTAGCCTCAGCAAATACCTAATAAGGTCTTGAGATAAAGATCTACTCCAGGTATAGATGTATAAGCACCTGGACTGGGGCTCCACCCGCTAACTGGTCAGACCATGCAAATCAACCCTTCCTGTTTCCTTTTACTGAAGAGCTTAGCTAGGGTGACTTCTGCCAGGAAGTGCCCTTGCAATAGCATCACAGCTGAAGCCAAAGGGGTGGACAGGAGGAGAGCAGACATCAGACCTCATCTCAGTGCTAAACCTACTGGAGGAGAGGAGTCACCGACCCCTCAGGATGGGGGGACTGGCACCAGGTGATATAAACATTCTGTTGACAACACACCTGGAAGTAAGATGGTTAGGGAAGGCTCATGGGGTTGTCCCCCTTGTATGTTCCCATTTTCTTTTAATACCACAATCAAAAGTAAACCTGTAAGTGAAACAGACCAATGCTGGGTTCAATGGCTCTGTCAAGCAGAGAGGGGACAGTGGTGGCAGGTGGTGATTCTTCTATGGGGAAGATGTCACAGCCTCAGCCTCAGGGCCTCAAGAGCACTGAACAGTGGCTTTATGGTATGGTGTTGGCTAAGACTCACAAAGCTCCCATGCTGTCAGATCCTAACATTCCCTAACAGAAGATTGGAATCTCTGTGATACTCAGACTCTTATCTCACTAACTAATACAAGCAACAGCCAAACAAGGAGGCTTCTCAAACAAAGGGATCATCAACTCGTGCTGGAACCCAGAGTTTCCCAATGGGTAATGAGCTGGGATTAGGAGACTTTGGAATCAGACACACCCATGTGCTATGTGGGGCAAGGTGGTTCCCCTTCTGAGCTTCCATTTTCTCAGTGTAATGGGAATAATAACGTTTAATCAGGGTTGTGATGAGTCAATGAGATGACAAAGTCAAGCATCTAGGACAGTCACTGATACAGAGTAGGTGTCCAGTCAATTGCATGTCCCATAGCCTTCTTGTTATTCTGTAGATGCAGGCACACATAGTGAGACCCCAAAGGGTCGTTAGGACGTGAGTCAGAGGGTTAACATTATAGCTTAGCCCTGCCACTTTGGAAATGAATTCTTATACAATCATTTATCTGTAAAACACTAGCATCTACAGGACCACTTCTCTACGATTACTTAAATCACCCTATTAAGTGGGCATTAGTATCCTCATTTTACAACTGAGAAAATGAAAGCAAAGGAAGGTTGAACAGTTTGTGCTAGTCACTTTAGCCCCAGTCTTCTGATCCCTAATTCAGTCTCTGCCCTCCCCACCACTGGAATAATCATCCATTTGGTATATATTTACTGAAAGTTGACTTAGTTCCAGGCACTGGACACCCACTTAGAGTCACTATTCCAAGAGTAGAGCTAGCCTGCTCTAAGCCAGCTGCATTCTTTGATCCCTCATGGGTGATGGTGGATCTACAGGAGTGGTGGCCAGGGCAGTGGTAGTTGTGCAAGTGGTAGTTGTGGCACCAAGTGACAGAGCCCTTGGCATCATGTTGTAATCAACCGAACTAACCACCCACACATCAGAGAACTACTACTACTGTGGTGCAGGTGTTAGTAATATGCTGTAAGACATTCTCTGACTTCAAGCCACTTATAGTCTCTTGTTGTAAAGAAGATATAGCCACGTGAAAAGCACAGCAGAAGGAGGAGAAAAACTGTCCAGTGGTTCTCAGATTGGGCTATATAGTAGAATTACCTGGAAGGCCTTTACAACATCCCAGTACCTAGACCCAACCCTCAGAGATTGCAATTTATTTGGTACAGGTTGGGTCTCAGGTATCAGCATATTGTAAGATCTCCCCAAGTGATGTTACCATGTTGGCAGGGTTGAGAACCCATGCGTAGGGCCTTGTCCATCAAAGTGCAGTTTGCAGATGGGCAGTACTGGCATTACCTGGGACCTTGTTGGAAAAGCAGAATCTCAAACCCAGTCCAGACCTGCTGATTCTGAACCTGCATTTTAACAAGATCCCAGGTGATCTGTGTGCATGTGGAGGACTGAGAAGCACTATGTGGAGGATGGTGAAGGGCAGACTCCTCCCTGCAAGGCAGCCAGAAAAGTTCTTCCCCAACCCCAACAGGGATATGCAGCCCACTCACTCCCCACCAGGCAGGGCACACCCCAAGACAGTAGAGCCAGGGGCCTGGGTGATCATGGGGAGCCACATCACCAAGCTCTGCTTCTCTTGCTCCTCCAGAGCTGCACCTGGGCCTGCATCATGGGGCTCCATGTGCCAGAGCTGATGGAGACCCAACAAATCTCTTCTGTGACTAAAAGGAAGTCTAAGAGCAAGGCTCTGTCACCATTTAAGTGACAAAAAGAAAAAAGAGTTTCTTCCCTTTCCACAGCCCTCTTCCCCAATGTCCCTACCCTCTTCTAAGTGCTCTTCACCATGGAAGAGGAGAGGCGAGCTCAGGACAGCCCTACCTCGGTACAGCCCAGTGAGAGAGCAAGCTGCCTGACCAACCATAAAGGCAGCTCTGTCACTGCAGGCATGGAGGTGGCTGGTACCAGCTAAGCCATTCCCTCATGAAGGAGGGAATCCCTGAGAGGCCAGACAGGGACACGCATGTAATCTGGCCCCTCCAGCACCCTGCATCCCACCCGCAGCTCTGGATCCCCGCTACCGCCTTTGTCTTTGTTTTTCCCTATCGTGTGTGTGTGTGTGTGTGTGTGTGTGTGTGTGTGTGTGTGTGTGTGTGTTTCATACGTGCCTGCCTTTCCTCTCCCTTTAGACTGGGAGCAACCACCTTCAGCTCCTCCTTTGTCAATGCCCGCAGTACTGAGCACAGAGACTTATGCCCAGCAGGGGCTCAATAAATATTATTTGTATTCATGTGCACACATTTTCTAGGGGTCAAACCCACTGCTCCATGCTAACAAAGAGTGACTCACAAGTAGGCCTTTATGAGGGATTACTATGAGCACATTGAGATTCTATTGGAGAAAACAAGAAGACAATAAGAAATACCTTCAAAAAGCATGCATCCCGGTTTAGGAAATCAGACTTATACATAGCAAGCCTAAGAACAGAGACACAGGAAATCAAGCATGTTCATGGTAAGGTTAGGCAGGCCAATGGAGGCTGGCATGCGCCAACACCATGGAAATTTTCTGCTCCAGTCTTTTGACAGATTATTATTACTTACCTCTTGCTTGGCATTTGTAAGCATTTATCACCCTTTGATACTTCTAACACTCACTCTTCCTTGGGGCAAAAATGGCTCAGAAAAACAAAAACAAAACAGAAAAAGGCTCACCTGTACCCCCACCCTGGGCCATGTTCACTATACCAGATAAACGGGATGACTGTAAAGATACATAGAGTTGCAGTGGGAGATGGATCAGGACCGGGAACCTTTCTCTGCTGAGATGCCTGCAAACATCTGACACCACAGCACATTATTTGTACCCCACCCCACCTCACCCCACAGCCAGCTTTTCAGGGCCATAAACACTACATCGCTTTCCCGTTCCAGGCTCCGAAAAGTCTTAGATCAGGTCCCTGAGACCCCAGACAGAATCCAAGGAGCCTTCCCTCGGCTTTTGAATGGAAAACTTGCAGGGCATCATGGATGGTTTTTCTCATTATGAAAACAAGAAAGTCAGGGCAAAACTCACAGCCAGACACAGACTTCAGTTTGGATTCAGCATGGGGCTTTCTCCAACAATTGGTCAAACTTACCCCCACTCAAAAGTCCACTTTACTCTAAGTCAGAGAGGCTTAGGTATGAGGATCAATAAGGAGAGGTAAGTGGCAAAGGTCAAAGATTCTGACTCTATAGAGCTGTGCAGTCTAATATAAATTACATAAATAAATTTAATGTAATTCAAAATTCAATTCTTCAGTCATATTAGCCACATTTCAAGTGCTCATGTAATTGGTGGCTTAATTATGTTAGACTGTGCAGATACAGAACATTTCCATCATCAAAGAAAGTTCTATTGGACAGCACTAATATAAAGCATTTAGATGTTTCATTTGAAGTAATGAGTACGGTGTTCTGGGAAGTTCTGCTGCTCTCCCCTGGTTTGTTGGGGAGGCTTTAGGTGTTCTGTGGGATGCTGAATAGAGGGTGTGCATTTTCATAATGAAAGAAGCAGTGTGCTGGAATTCTCATGTAAACCCAAAAGTTCTAAGGCAAAACTTACAAGGCTACAAAGTGGGCCATCTTAGCCTGCATACGTGGACACACAGTCTTTCCACACTTTTGCTTTCATCACAAGGACCATAAAGTCAGATACTGTAACTATTTTACTGACAAAAAGCCCACATGCTGCCTAGTCCTAGGCAGAATCATTCTCGAGATCCCCTTGGCTGGTTGTAAGCATTCCCCGGCGTTACTTTCCAGTGCAGCATCACTGAAGAGAAAAATATCTCAGGTCAGGTCAGCACTCTGGACAGCGACAAGCTCCTTCCCAGTGTATTTCAGCACTCCCGTCTGCCCCAAACATCCTTCAGAAGGAACTATCCCCTCAGAAACCACCAGGTGCCTGGGAAGGGACTTCCCACCCACTTCTTCTAACACCACAATCTTGTTGTCTTCAGAACAAGAGAGTGTTCAGCTATGAAGCTTCAAATACTCCTCACCAATGCCAAAAAAATTCACTCCTCAGCAAGCCAAGGTTTGCTACAGTCTGGCCCCAGACCGCTTCTTCCACTGCTGCAGCCTGGCCAATTCACCATGCCTGACCACACTAGCTGTTTCCCTCTTCTAGCCCTTTGAGTGGGCACTCCTTTCCCCACCAGAAATGCCATTTTCTTATCTTTGACTGTTCAGGTCCTACCCATCTCTAGAGGCCCAAGCCAACCCCCACTTCTCTTCAGAACCTTCCCCAAAGACTTTAATCTACACTGATTTCCTCTGTTGTCTGACATCCCAAAGCACTTCTAGTTTAGATCATGCTTTAGAAACTTAATTACCTATCAATCATCTTGTATCATTACCAGGTTCCTATGTGGGTTTTGCCAGAACTAGCTTTTGCCAGCAACCAGCCATGCAGTCACAAGTCAGTCATGCCACACTTCTGAGTCATTTCTTGATTAGTAAAATAACTATCTTGAACTAAAACATTTCTAACATTTTTGAGTTTAGGTTTCTCTCAGAACAAGTTTCCACCTAGAAGAGTGCAATGCACATAGCAGGGTCTTCAAATAATAACTGCAGATGCAATGAATATCTTACAAAAACAAAACGAGGGCATATCCCAGGGCTGAGGCCAGCCACAGAATCCTGGTTTAGCTCCCAATGTGGATGACAAAGGCTTCAATTCCACTCAGTGTGTGATGATAATCGGAAAGATATCCAGTTTCTGCCCTGACCTACGTCAGCATAGAAATATCATCTATGGCCTTGGAGGCATTTTCCTCCATAAAGACATTCACCTCCAACATGTGGAAAAATACCACACAATAGGTATTATAACAATGGCAGTGACAACAATGTCTTGCATATAAATTTATCTTATATAGGTCAGCCAACACCTGACAGCAATGTACTAACTTCATTTACTAATTACACACAAGCCCAGACAGACTAGGAAAAGTAACAAGAAGCATAAACATTGGTGGTGCCCCCAAATAAAACTCTGGCTGGTCTCACGAGTCAAGATGTTCCAAGAATTAGGTGGCAGGGAGACAGACTTAAAATTTTACCTCAATATTACACCTTCTGTCAAAATGATAGATAGCTATAATACCTCCTCATAATTAACATCCTGTTATTCTCAAATAATTTGGCTTATGGTCAACACACAGTAAGATATAGGGGAGATTCTTCCACCTTTGAACAACAAAAAAGGCCTAGAAATATTTAATGACTTTTACCCTGCAAATAAAGATAAAACTAGAACCAGACTTAGTTGGAATAATTCTACTAACATAGGCACCACACACACACACACGCACACACAGACATACATGCACACACATATCCCAATACACAACTCAGAGAATTCTTAGTAATATAAAGAAAAGAGTGATGAAATTCTCTGACCCTGAAATTGGAGCTTTCACCAAATGGTTGTTTAAAATGCTACTGCCAAAGCAAATTGGCCAGCATCAGTAAAGAAAAAGGGAATTTTCATCACTGGGAAAAGTTCTTGGAATTGCTCTGCCAGCCATTCACTCTCATCCCAGAAAATCACAAGATCTGAGAACAAAACTTAGCATCTGATCAATCCACTCCAGTTGGCCCAAACTGGATCCAGGAAAGCTAGCTCAGCATGGAGGCCAGAAGTCTCCCATCCTAGAAGGCCTTTCCCAGAGCTGGGCATCGTACGTGCTCAGAGAAGCAAATCAGGGAGACAGCAGTGCAACGAGGTTAGAAGAGTAAAGACTAGCACTCAGGGTTCTCTATGATTTTTGTCTCCATATACTGCTCCAGACACACCCCTCACTACTGAATTACATGCACCCACCACCCAAACCATGCCATTTACCTTCATGAATCAAAGATCCTCTACATAGTCCTGCTTTTGCACATGATTTTTCTCCAGTAGTCCTGGAGAAAGTCTTCAAGTCTTGATATCTCAAGACCCACCAGCCGGGCGCAGTGGCTCACGCCTGTAATCCCAACACTTTGGGAGGCTAAGGTGGGTGGATCACTTGAGGTCAGGAGTTCAAGACCAGCCTGGCCAACATGGTGAAACCCCCATCTCTACAAAAAATACAAAAATTAGCGGGGTGTGGTGGTGGATGCCTGTAGTCTCAGCTACTTGGGAGGCTGAGGCAGGAGAATTGCTTGACCTGGGAGGTGGAGGTTGCAAGGTTGCAGTGAGTCAAGATCGTGCCACTGCACTCCAGCCTGGGTGACAGAGCAAGACTCCATCTCAAAAAAAAAAAAAAAAAAAAAAAAAGACCCACCTCAAGTACTTCCTCTTGCAAGAGGCTTTTCCAGATCACCCAAGCCCAATGTGATCTTCCATCAGCTTTCTAGAACTTACATTCTGGAATTAGCAAATATTACTTATATTTGGACACATATCTCTTACCACCTGTAAGGCAGAAGACAGGGTCTCATAAGCCTCCACATTGCTCCAGAAGATGATGTGGTAACGCTGACCCAAATAGCAGGTGCTTGGTGATGATGATGAGAATAATTAGACCTTCTTAGGAGGTTCATTTGCCACCTAGAGTCAGAACTAGGTATGAAGCTAAGTACGAGGGGCTGGGTGGGGCAGGCAGAAACAGGCCAGAAGGGAACCCACTTGGAGGACCACTATTCACGCAGCCTTCCTCCAACTCTGGGTGCCAAGAACTTTTTTATTCTAGGACTGACCGGGAAATCCTTCTTTCCAACCCCTGAGTGGCTGATCTCAGGCTGTTTATCTTGTTAACTCTGTTTATTGTGATCCCGGTAAGAGGTTCTGAAGCTCTCCAAGCCCGTCTCTAATTAAATTCATTAGAACAGATTGGGGCCTTCTTTCTGGATCTCAAAAAAAAATAACAACATGATTAGCATCACAATAACGGGGAGAGGGGCTGCCAGGGAGGCCTTTCAGGAGGGGCTGGGCCAGCCCGGGAGGGGAGGAGTGAGGAGGAGCAGGTGAAGGAGGAGAAGGCAGATGCTAAGACAGCTGCTTCCTGGAGGAAGAGAGCAGCAGGAGCCGGGAGGGGATGATAGGGGAGTGAGGGCATGACCCTACCATGCCCCAGGCACTCCAACTTTTTCATGGCACTGCATGTGGGAGAGGAAAGCCAGGACAAGAAATTAATCAATGACATAAATCCCAGAAACACAGGCTGTGGGACAGGAACTTGCAGCAACCCTGTAATTTTACAGAGAAAGAAATCCATTTAAGTTAACAATGGGGCCAGAAGTTGAAGGCCCCTCATGCCTTTTAGGATGATGTCCTTTTCCTGTAAGACTTTGCGGCATGGACCAGGGAGAAGGTGGGGGGAGGGTGGGGGAGAATAGGCAGGATGAGGCAGGTCACTTCTTTCCCAGAGAATCTGAACCCAAGTTTTTGCTTATACACCTGATGGTTCCTTCATCTAGAATACCCTCTGCTTCTCTTGCATATCCAAATTCTGCCAATTCTTCGAGGCTCAGTTCCATTCCCAACACCTCTGTGTACAGCAGTTAGCATCTGATGAATATTTACTACCAGCTAGGTATTACATTGGGCCTTTCACTATCCTCTCACATTTAATCTCTGTAACAGCCCTGCAAGGTTCATATTAATATCCCCATTTTGCAGATGAGCTGCAGCTATGCAGCTAGCAAGTAGTAGAAGCAGGGTCTGAATGCAGATCTGTCTGGTTGCAAAGGCTGAATGGTTTCTACTGTGCCATGTCACCTCCATGACTCCAACAACCTAATCCAACTAACAAATCATGCTTTTCTTTGAAATTTTACCGTCCCAGGTCTGAGGCACCAATGAAGATTTAATTAGACCCTGTATTGTCTTGTTCTCAAGGTGTTTTACCTGTCTCAGTCTTATTTCTTCTATTTGAAAGCAGGAACCACATTTCTATCTTTCAGAAGAAAGTAAGGCATTCAAAAATGCCTTCTAACTGAATCCTTCTAACAGATTTTCCTAGAAAGCCTTGTGCATGTGGATAAAACATCCTAGCTTTTTATTTTTCTACCTGGGGTTGGAGGCGGGGAGGGGGTGGGAGGTGGGGCTCAGTACGACATATGGGAGAGGAGCACAGGCTTTGAAGTCAAACAAATAAAGGTTTAGATTCTAGCTCTGCAACTCACCTGTTCTGTAATCTTCAACAAGTAACAGCTTCTCTGAATCTGTCATTTTCTGTAAAACCAGCAACTTAACAATATCTCATTTGTAGGGTTAACCCTTTGAGGATGAAATGAAATGATGCATATAAAGCATAGAGTAGGGTGCCTAGCACATAGAAAGAACTCGATAATGGTGACTATTGTTATTACGCCACTTTTATTTTTTTCTGGCTTGCCTCAAGACCTAATGAAAAAAGGGTGGCCTGAGAGTTCTCAAGCTGGCACAATCTAACCAATGTCCTGGGTCAGCAAAGCTGTGGAAGTGCCTACTCAAGCACCCCGCACAGCCATTAACTCCCAGGCCCTCTTCTGCAGTCCAGGGACCAGGCCATATGCATCCAACATCTGCCCTTACAGTTAGGCCTGGGCCCTTGCAGCTAGACCTGGGCCTTAGCTGGGCATTGTAAGTGCCCAAAGGTTTGTCATCAACTTGCTCAAGCCAAGGCAGGGGTCTGTCCAGACAGTTTGGTGCAATCACTCCAGATCCTACTGCTCACTATGACCCCTCAGCCATGCTCCTACAACACCAGGAATTCATCTAACCTCAATTATAGCAGTTCTTGTGCTGAGTCTTAATTTGGTTTCATTTCTGTGTCTCCAATTTGACTTACATGCCCAATAGCTTGCACAGCTCCTGACAGATTCAAAGGCTCAGGATACATTGATGAAATGAACAAAAATGGGTGTGTGGGGGAAAAGAGGGGCTACTCAGACAGATGAAACTGACAGTCTCTCTCCTTAGGCTATTTTCCCACTTCGGCTATGGATATTTGCGGGAATCTGTGGTCAAGTGTATAGCTTCTAAGGACCTCTCCTGCTTACCAACAACTTGCCCTCCCCATCAATGACTCCCACCTGACTCTGACCTCCCCATAATGCCAAATCCTTTCACACACCTTGCAGGTGTGTGAACCTTGCAGTCCTCACAATATTTTTCCTCGCCTTGCCTCTCAGCACATCCCTGTGCATCTTGCCTACACACGAGTAGCTCCCAGAGCCTCTTTCCTCTGACTCACTGACATTCTAAGCATATCCAGCCACACTTTACCCCTAAAATACAAGAGCTTAGAAGATGGGATTGGGAGAGTTAAGCAGCCTCGACCTCATCACAGAGCTCCCTTTGGGTATTCCCCTATCAGGTTCTAGCCACATCTAGCCGGGTTCACCTTGTTCACACAGGTGTTCACACAGAACATTACCCCTCTAGCCCTTCAAGCTGGGGATCTGACAACACCTTGAACCTCATCTTGTCCCCTACCCTTTTCCTGAGAGTCAACTTCAGGGTCAGCCCTGAGCTACCATTCCGGATAGCATCAGCCAAGCCCTCTTCATAGCTGTGGAGAGCAGGGTGCTGATACCACTGGAATTAAAGATCCCGCTGTGTAACATCCCTATCCGGATGCTCTTGCTCAAGCTTATCTGTTATTTGTCTGATCACCTGTCTTCCTCTTCCATTGCCCAGGAGCTCGGAGAGATTGGACCCTAGCTTACTTTTCATCTCTATGGTCTCAGCACCTAGCAGAGCAGCACACCGTAGGGCTTAATGGATCTTTGTTAAATGAGTAAGTATGAAACCGGCCTTACGTTCCTCTCACTTCTCCCCTCCCCACCCCAAACATCACCCCAGGCAAACAGACTGAGAACTGAATTTTTCTGCTTCCCCCTCTCTGATTTCCTAAGAATTTCTTTTTCTAAAGACAAAGGGATGATTCTCACACTCCAGCTCCTCCATGGTCTTGAAGATCTCAGGGTGCCTCTGGCCTCCAAAAAAGCCTGAGGGAGAAGAGTGGAGCCAGAGGTAGGAAACAAGTTGCAATATACTGATCAGAGCCTTGGCATCCTGTCTCTCACTCACCACAGAAATCAGACCCTCCTCTGGCCCACCCACCCCAGAAATGCAAAGCCAGAACCCCACCCCCAGCTCTCAGCCACCTCTTCAATGTGTGCCTTAAAAGAACCAGCCCTTGTGAGCGCAGCCAGTTCAGCCCACAGGGAGCTGGCTAGGTACAATTGGAAGGTCTTGCTCCAGCTCTCTGGGGAGCTGGCTTCTCCCTCCGTGTGCCTTGGTTTATTTCTCCGTACTCTTTCTGATGCCAAACAAGGGGGTGAGGGGTGAAATTCATTGCACAAAACTGGGAAATATGTACACTGTTATTAGAATCCCCCACTTCACCTGAGCTCCAGTCAAGCATTTCAACATCAGGACCTTAATCCAATCAGCTCTCAACAACGGCTGCAGGTAATGCTTTCTCCCTGTACCAGGAAAAGCTGGCAGCCCTTAGGCACTGATGCCAGGGAAAGCTTCCAGCCCCACCCCCTCTCACGCTGGAGAGGCGACGGAGAAGGGTGACAAAGCAAGGTGCAGCCAGTGCCCCCAGCAGCACATCCCCTTGCCAGGCACTGCCTGAGGCCCATTCAGAGTTTACTGCACAGGAGCTGAAGGAGTCCAGTCACTTGGATTCCTAAAGTGAAAGCCTTGCAGAGAAGGGACAGAGTCTGTCTGCAATTCGCTCTTAACGCCTCAATTTAAGCCTCTGGGTTTCGTCTAAGCCCCTAAGACAGGAATCGGGCTGCCATTCCCTGTTCCACAGTGGCAACCACAATTTCTGGGGCTAAGTGGGAGTGAGTCTCTTTCCTTACTGGCATAATTCTCTCTCTCTCTCTCTCTCTATACACACATCACACAACACACACACACATCACAACACACACACACATCACAACACACACACACATCACAACACACACAACACACCCCTTCAGTTGAATCCAAAGACAAGGGGAGAAATTACTCCCTCCGAAGTGCCAGCTCAGTCAAGACAAAAGGTGAAATGTATTAGCTGCGTAGCAGGCCCCCATCTCCTTCAATTCTTCCTGCAATGCAATTCCACCACATCCAATCATCCCCAAACCAGAAGGAGGATAGATCTCTGCCTGCCTTCCTCCACTGCCCCCACCTCACAGCTGGTATGGCCCCTATCCCCAGAGGCTTCCACTCTTCACACACATTTTCCCTGGGCTATTCTCCTATTGCTTTAAGTTCTGTGGGCTCTGAGGCTGGCTTTGGCTCCACACAAACAATTAAACTCCTGTCCAACCAGGTCTCAAAGCCCTGTGGCTTGCCCTTGCCTTGCTGGAGATTTGACTGAGGCCCAGCAGGGCCCAGCACATTTCCAAGGGTAGATGAGACGCACTAGGCCCTCATGCCAGGGACACAGGCAGGCAGAAAAGGGGTATTGTTGTCCTCTCCCCCACACTGAGGGATGAGGCATCTCTGCTCAACACACACACACACACACACACACACACACACACACACACCCCATGCCAAAATGCCAAGGAAGGAGTCAGGAGCAGAACCTGGCTCAGGACAGGATGGGGGCTGCCATGGGGACCAGATTCTAGGTGATTCAGCACTCTGCCCACTCTTGGCCCAGCCCATGGGCCACACTCATGACAGCTCCAGATGCCAAAGTGCTGACTTGGAGGCTGAAGCAGAATCTTTTCTAAAATCCAAAATTATCCAGCCCTCCAGCAGGGCTCCTCATCCAGGCCTTTACATCAGGGCTCAGGCCAAGCCCCAGGAGGAGTCTGCTCAGTCATTCCCCTGGACCCTGCCCCTTCCCCATCCTAGTTTCCCAATGCCTAGCACCCCCTCCCCCAATCCATCTAGGAAACAAACCTGAACAGCTAGAGGAGTAGAGTGGCTGCATGGCTGGAGAGGAACATAAGAGAGAGGCCTACTAACCCCCAGCATTCTTCCCCAAGCCACAAATAGGATCGAACATGCAGAAAGGGGTTATATTCCACAACCAAGATCCCCACCCAGGGAAGGGGGGTCCAGAGGCCACTGAGGGAGGGCTGGGTACAGGCTGTATGGCTCCACACAGCACCAGGAAGGGCAGCTAGGGAAGGTGACGGGTGTCAGGCCAGCTAACAGCCAAAGGGGGGAGAAGGCGGGGTTCTTGAGAGGGACTGTGATGCAGGAGGACACCAAGAGGCAGCTGGGAAGGGGCTGGGACAGGGCGTGCAAGGGGGAACCAGGGGAGGACAGAAACTGAGGGAGCAAATGGAGAGACAGGACACCAACTGGTAGGGGCATGAGATGGGGAAGAGAATAGGGGAGGCAAGAAGGGGCTGATGTGTGCGGTAGGAAATACAGGAGGCATGGGGTCATCCAAAGTGGGGTGTCGAGGTAAACAGAAGTACAAGGGCAGGCAGGGCTCACGGATGAGGCGGGGACAGAGAGGAAAGGGAAAGGGTTGAGGATGCGGGAAGGGGGAGGGGACGCGGCCAACGAGATAGAAAGGGTGTTGGGGTGGGCAGGGGGCTGGGAGCTGGACGGGGACGGGGTGGGCATACGAACAGAATCGGATGGATTCGGGGCAGGTGACAGTGTGGAGAGGGGAAGGGATGGGAATGTGGACGGAGGGGGAGGGGGCAGGTCAGGGGATGGAGACAGACGAGGGCGGGAACAAGGGGGTGTCGCTAGGTGGGTTTCCATGACTCTCTACCCCCATCTCTCCGGTGTTCGCGCTCGCCTACCTCCAAGGGCTCGGGCTCCGGCCCTGGGCGCTGTCCGAGCTGTCCGCTGCCGGCGCCGCCACTTCCCCCGCGTCCCCTGCAGCGCCTCTCGCCGCCAGCCGCCGCATTAGGGCAGAGACCAGCCCGTGCGCGTCCCCGGGCGGCCGGCGCGCCCCCGACACCCTGCGTGCGCGCCCCCGCGCCCCTCCCTTCGCGCTCCTAGCGGCCGCTGAGCGGGGACCAGGACAGAGGCGGAGGGAAGGATGCTCCGGACGCAGCCCCGCCTGGCGCGCTGGGGAGCGGTGCGCAGAGCCAGGGCCGGAAAAAAAAATCCTCCTTTCTCTTTTCACCTGAGGCCTCTTTGCGGGCTTGCCTGGAGAGTGATAACTAGTCTCCCCGTTTCCGTTCGCTGAGCACCTACTACGTGCAAAGCACACAGGAGGAAGTACCCTGAAGCCCCAACAGGATCGCTTGTTTGCACCTCCACCATAGACTGTGACTTTAGGGAGCAGGAAGTTGCCGGACAGCTTGTGTTCTCAGGGCCTAGCACAGAGACTTGTTTGTGGTAAACTCTCCAGCAACATTTGTTGATTGGCAAGTCGTTGGATCCTGATTCAGGGATGTGAGAGAGGTTGTGACTGCTATGAACAGTGCGGGGCTTTCTTTTAGAAATGGGAGATTTCCTCTGCCCTAGGGGGACTCAGGCCTCAGTCGTGGCTGGAGAACTATCTGACATGATAGCAAGACATTTATCTGTGGACATCAGTTTCCACAACTGAACCATGAAAAGTTGATTGGGTGGTCGCCCAAGGTCTCTTCTAGCTCTGACACGAAGACTGCATTAGGTTCTGTGCACAGGATCTGAGCTCAGAATTATCACCTGAAACAGTGGAAAGATCCCAGTTAGGGAATCATAGAATCTTTGTCTTGGAAGAGCACTTGGAAGCTTCTAGTTCAGCTCCTCATCCAAAACTACAGTCCCCTGCAGCATCCCTCTGTGGCCCCATTCAAGGGCTACTTTCTCTGTGCTCATAGCTCCTACCCTGGCACCACTGTCTTTTATTCTGGATGAGAACACCAAAGTTCAAGGAACCTGCCCAAGTAATAATTCAAAGCCCAGATGCATCTGACAGTGCCTAGTTAAAACTACTTTGCTATTTTAAGATGGGCCCTACAAGTTTTAGATTTCACCAATACTAGAATCTTCTAATATGGTCAAGTTGAAGGATCACAGGATTTGCCAAGAAAGTCCTGGCTTACCAGCAGGGTAAACTTGGGCAGTTCACTTAACCTCTCTAAGTCTTCTTTTTCCCATCTGTAAAATGGGCATAGAGTGAGCATCAATGAGATAAGGTACTGAACCAAACTGTTCTTTACAAATGTTAATTATTGTTCAGCCTTCCCTCCCCTTTCTTCATTACTTTTAAACAGCAAATACACGAAGGTCTAGAGAGATGGACCCCACACAGTGGTTTGGTGGTTGAAACTGAACTGGGACTCAAGTTTCATGGCCTTAGTATAAAGAAATTAAGTGTGGGCCTAAAGGGAGCATGGTGACCCCCAGAGGCCCTGAGGGTGAAGGTGTTTCCTTGGCCTCGGTGGTGTCCCAGAGCTGCAGGCAAGTCCTGATGGAGGGAGAGGCACCCCCTGCTGGTGATGGACTCTGGGGACTAAGAAGAGCCTACGCACCTTGCAGGCTGTTCTGCTGCTGTGTCAGGAACAGACTCACTCAGGACCGAGGGCAGAAAGTGGTTGCTCTTTTTCTTTCCTGACATTTATCTGGCCTTCCTGCTTCTTTTTCTTCCCTGGGTTTGCACCTCTAGTTCTGGCTGGAACCCTCAGCAAGCATGGACTTTCAACCCAGACCTGAAACCTCACTCACTGTGTCCTCTGTCATGGTGAATGGCAAGTCACAGGATTTTCACATTCCCTAGTGTTTCATTCCTCCCAATGAAATTCCATAAGCCCTGCCTCATCCTGGGCTCAGACCAAGAGAAAGCCCCAGGTATGAGTCTCGGGCACTTGAAGCCATCCTCTTCCACACTGGTCCCTAGGAAGTGTGGGGAAACTGGCAGATTCGTGCATCATTGGTGGAGGTTTAACTTGGTATGGCCTTTTTGGGAGAGCAATACAGCAGTACCATCAAGACTTTAATGACACCCTTGACCCATCAATGCCACCTCAAAGAATCCAGCCTGCAGAATCACTGGCCCAATCCACAAAGATGTGTATGCACAAGGATACTCAGTGCGGCTCAAGAGGACAATGATTACATCCATTGTAATAATCCATGCAATAGCACAGTTTTAAAAATTATAACAATGATAACACACACACATTTGTTTTTTAAAAAGCAAGTTAATAATGACATACAGGGAATAAAGGTATTATCCTTTTCTGGGGGAAAAGGGAAAGCAAATTGGGAGACAGGGTGGGAAGAAGAGGAAAGAGGGAATAATGCCCTGGGCTAGTTTAGAAGATAAGAGCAAAGGCCCTTAAGCTTACTAGGAAGGACCTAATTTTTGTTGAAGCCTTTCACATACTAGGCCTTTTGCATATATTATGTTACTCATTCCTCAGAAACCCCAGTGAGGTGGGGATCATTGTCCCCAATTTACTGATGAGGAAATAGATGCCCAGTGAGGTTAATAAGAGTACAGCATCACACAGATGGGGTGTGGTACAGTGTTAGCTTTGCCCCTAGAGAGATCTGACTTTTGTCCTTGGCTCCTGGGAGGTCATCTCTGAGTCCTTGGTTATCTCACCTGATAAGAGTATCTTTATCTACCTGGGGGTCTTGGGCAAAACCAGGTAGTCTATACTAACAATGATGGATGGTGGGGTCTTTGGGCATGCATCGGCTCAACCTCCAGAGGGGCTAGAAACTAAGGTCAACCACTTGGATGGTCAGCCATGACTACATGACTGAGCCCCAATAAAATCCCTGGACACTAAGGATTGGAAGAACTTCCCTGATTAGCAATATTTTGCATGCAGTGTCACACATTGTTCCTGGGAGACTTTAGCACTGTCCTCAGCTTCATCAAGAGAGAATAACTGCGATCTCTGCACATGCAACTCTCC
Source organism: Homo sapiens (assembly GCF_000001405.40). Taxonomy (NCBI): domain Eukaryota; kingdom Metazoa; phylum Chordata; class Mammalia; order Primates; family Hominidae; genus Homo; species Homo sapiens. The sequence continues at coordinate 204,825,719 of NC_000001.11, read as the reverse complement.
TGGACTCTGCTTGACCTGTCTCTTCTTTTGGCTAATTCTAATCTGTATCCTTTTATTGTAATAAACCACCATTATGAGCCTATGAGCTCTCAGTTCTATGAGTCCTTCTAATAAATTACTGACCTAAGAGGGGTCTTGGGAATGCTTGAGCTTGCAATTGGTCAGAAGTAAGAATGGTCTCAGGGACTGCTTCCTAACTCTGTAGATGGTAAGTGGTGGAATTGGGAGTTGGACAAAGATCTTAGAGTCTCCAGGGTGTACCCTCTCCCACTGCACAACACTCCCTTACGCCGACCTATTGTATAACAAGTGCCAAAGGACAGAAACTCTGCCACTGATACAAAAGGGCTGGGCTCCCGGCTAAACCCCACCCTTAAGCCTGGAACTGTGGCCCTAAGTGGATATAGCTGACCCCACTTTTCCTCCCAAATGTTGCCTTTTTGGCCTGCCCTGCCCCTATCCCTTGCCCATAAAAGACTTTAGCTGGCAGAGAAACACAAGTGGCTGAGTGGCAAGGAGACAAGTGGCTGAGCAGTGAGCAGAGAAGCAACTGAACATCAGAGACTGTGGATAGACATGGCTAATTTCAGGCAGTGTGGCTTCAGAGAGGGGCCCAGATGGAGACAGCCAGGCTTCAGAGAAAGATTACCTTCCCATCCCCTTTCCAGGCTCCCTTTCCACTGAGAGCCAACCACCACTCAATAAAGTCTTCCACACTCATCACCTTTCAAACAGTTCATGTGACCTGATTCTTCCTGGACACTGGACAAGAACCCGGGTGCTGAGAGGGCAGGGGCTGCCACCCTGACCTTCCACTGAGCTGACTGACACTTGGCCATCTCTGGACAGCAGAGCTGAAAGAGCATCCATTGCAACACACTTGGATGCTGCTGCAGGGCCCACACAGAGCTTGCTCCCACCAGAGAGGAGTGACCGGCTAGTTCTAGCATTCGTTCACTCTGGTTCCCGCACTCACTCACACACTCCCTTCTGCCAGGAGTGGCCATCAGCAGGCTGAGTGAAATGAGCCACTCCAGTTCCTGCCCACAAAGGGGGTCAAGGGAACAATCCTGTGTCACTATCATGAGGAAGAACAAGAGCAGAGTGATAGTCATGCTGAGCTCTAGCAAAGCAGGTGGATGAGGATGCAGAAAAGCAAGCAGAGTAGCATGTTCAGAAGGAATGTAGAGGGGCAAATTTTAGAAAGTTCCAGGAATATAGGCCCCCCCCATAATGCAGGAGGGCAGGAAGACAGGTGCAGTGAAAGCCAATGGGAAAAACCACTAGGAATTTCCCATAGGTCCCCCAAGAAGCTACTAGACTCTTTGATCTCTTATCTCATCTCTCCCTCAGCATCTTCTAGTCTCTCCCTAGGCCAAGGGGGAAAGTTGCATCCCAATTTGCACACAGCATTAAGGGAAGGAGGGAGGGATCCAGGAACAGGGCTCTGGTCCTTCTCCCATTTGGCCAGTGCACACATGCTGGTGATCCAAAGCAGTGGCAGATGTGGAGACCCCATGCTGTCTGCAGGTCCTCATCACCCCCCAACACCTGTCACATTCTCAAGTGCCTAGAATTTTCTTCCCCCCATGCTGGGGAGTAGCCAAAGGAAAGGAAGCACTCAGCCCAACTCCAAGCTGGAGAGCATCTTTCCATCTGCTCTCTTACTTCCCGCTTTGAAATTAAAAAATAAAAATCTCCTTGGGAGTTGCCTCTTGCCCACCACTGCCAAGGGCCAGCCATAGAGCTCAGTTTATGAAGTCACTTGGAAATGTGCATGTGTTAGAGCTTTTACCTTCCAGATGCAGAGACCTCCCCAAGCTACATAGAATTAGTCTTCCACTGTACGTAGGTGAAATTCCATTCCTGGAATGGAATTTGAGAGATGGGGCAGTGAATGGGGAAGTTAGAGAGGAGGAGAGAGAAGCTTTGGAATAGCCATTAACCAGCCTTGACTCTAGGCCTGGGTATCAGACCTGTCCCTGCTCCAAGAGTGAGGGAGGCAAAGGGTGGAACTGCCCCACCGTCTGCTTTTATACAGAGCATGTTTCCACCTTTAAAGACTACCTTTGAATTTCACCTGCATAAATATATTAGAAAGAGTAGGATTTTTGGAGTCTTTCTCTACCATGATGAAAGGCCTTGTATTAGTCTGTTCTGTCATTGCTATAAAGAAATACCTGAGACTGGGTAATTTACAAAGAAAAGAGGTTTAGTTGGCTCATGGTTCTTCAGGTGGTATAGGAAGCATGGCAGTATCAGCTTCTGGGGAGGCCTCAGGGAATTTTACTGATGGCAGAAGGGCAGGCATCTTCACATGGCCAGAGCAGGAGGAAGAGAGGTGAAGGGGAGGTGCCACATACTTTTAAATAACCAGATCTCACTATCGCGATGACAGCACCAAGGAGGATGATGTTAAACCATGAGAAACCACTCTCATGATCTAATCCCCTCCCACCAGGCCCCACCTAAAACATTGAGGATTACAATTTGACATGAGATTTGGGTGGGAACACAGATCCAAACCATATCAGGCCTATACCTGTTTATTAACAATAGTAGTAAAATAAGCTATTTCTCTCTCTCTTACTTCTAATGAGCCAACCAGCAAGAAAAGCCCAACTGCAAACTCTCTCTATAAACATATGAAACCTTGTCTTTCTGGAGGACTTTGAGGACTGGTCTTCTAGGTGGGTTGCTTCATAATCCTGTCCCTAGACAGGGAAATATGGTCCCTCCCCAGGTGGGAACCCTGGAATTTAGAAAACCTTTATCAAAAGAGCTTTTCCTTTTGCAGTTGTCTTGCAAACGTATTTGTGTTAATAGTCTTGAGAGTGATTGTGCCCAGCTAACCACAAAGGCATTCATTTCATCTTAATCAAATGGTTAAAACATATTAAAAGCCTGGTGCGGTGGCGCATGCCTACAGTCCCAGCTACTTGAGAGGGTGAGGTGGGAGGATTGCTTGACCCCAGGTATTGGAGGCTTCATTGTGCAATGACCATTTTTGTGAATAGCTACTGCACTCCAGCCTGGGCAACACAGTGAGACATTCTGGTCCTTAAAAAAAAAAAAAAAAAAAAAAACCCAAAACAAAATATATTAAAACAATCTCTTTTCCGGAAAGCCCTTACTCACTTTGTCTTTGTGATGTACTCCTTTCTGAAGACTCAGCTTAAACATCTCTGGTGTGAAAAACAAAACAAAACAAAACAAAAAACTCTTCCTCTGCCAGACTCAGCCTCTCATCTGTGCAGCAGTGTACACAGTAAGGGCTTCCCTCATAGCACTTACTGCACTGCGTTTCCAACTGGAAGTTTCCTAGAACAGGGACCATCTTCCTCTCATTGTATCTACAGGGTCCAGCACTATACACTGCTCATAGCTGAAGCTATGGATGAGTGCATGATAAATAAAAGTATGAATAAAAGCAGAGCTGCTATGAATATAGACAGTGCTATCCAATGACAGTAGCCACTAGCCGCATGTGACTATTTAAATTTAACTAAAATTAAAAATTCAGCTCTTCAGTCACACTAACCACATTATAAGTGTACAAGAGCTGCATGTGCCTAGCGGCCACTGTATTAAATGACACAGATTAAAGAACATTGCTATAATTGCAGAAAGTTCTATTGAACAGCACTGGACTACATTATGATGGGCCCAGCTGAAGTTATGCAGTGCGTGACCTGCACAACTGTTCAGAGTGGGCCTGTATGAATGAAGGACCTCTCTGTGTGCAGTACTGTGACCGCTGCTGTGCTAGCTGCTGATCAAAGAATTACACAGACATTTATAGTCTAAGACAGGCATGAGAACATCTGAAAACACATTGTAAAGAATGGCCTCTCGATGAGTAAATATGGGTCAAATGAAGTAAACAGACTATGCGTAGGTATCATCAAATATAGAGAGAATGAACAGACCGAAGAAGGGAAATACAAAGAGGTTTGACGTCCTCACAGCCTAAAAACTAGTGTCTGTTTCCCTTCTTGAAATGGACATTACTTGGCTAGAATTATTTCCTGGAGAAATAAACATATTAGACAGAAATAACCATGCTGGCTATTGAAATATAGCCAAAGAAAATATTTGTCTTCACGTAGCAACCACAGAAGGTCTCCATCATGGCAACCACTGATTTTTCTGGATAAGGTAAGATTTATGATGGTCTTTCTGTTGTTTTCAATAAACCATGGAAATGTCCTATCCATTGCAACATTTCAGCCTCTAAATTGTCTTTCTGACACTGCTTCTTGCACATAGCAAATGTCTGAAAATCTTTTGTCACAGAAAGTGTCTCAGTTTTCTTTTTTTAAGCTATTACCTACCAGAAGTACCTCAGCTTTCTATCAGGAAAATGTGGTCCCTGTACCTTGAGGGTCTTTTTCACTTCCTGTGGGTTATTATTTTATTCTGTTAAAGAAACTGTTAAGTCCAAATGGTTAAGGATGTCTCCTGCACTGGGCCAGACCCACCCAGCTGGGGAAAAGGAAAGGAGACTTCGCCTTCACTTTGTAGCAAGTCAGGGGTACTGTGCTCCAGTCTCTAGACCCTAGACCCCAGACCCCAGACTCCTCTGTTTCTATCCTGTCCTGCCCCTGCCTCCACCCCCAACACAATTTCTGCTGGCTGGCAGGATCAGCAGGAGTAGGGCATGGAGCCAGGAGGTCGCAGCTGAGAACCCAGCCTGTGGGCCTGGCCACCCCCAATTAGTTTATCTTATTAATGCCAATTTATTAGCACAGAACCCCTGGGAAGTGGGCTGGAGGAGTTGTCTGTTTAAAATAAGCTTTTATATTTCAGGTCTGCAAACTGCACACCTGAGAGGCCAGGCCCGAGGTGGGTGGCCTTCCTGCCTCCCACCTCCTCTGGGTAGACCTGGGAGAGTGGATCTGACAGTGGCAGATGGGATGGTGTATGCTTCTAAATACAAGATTTGTCACAGTTTTACATGTAATTGTGCAGGCTTCCTTTTAAGGGTCCTCTACGACTTCATTAGCAACAAAGAATTACTCTATTAAGCTTTATAAATAACATAGCCTTAATAATTAAATCTTGTTCCTTCTCAGGGCCCCAAGTGGACTCACTCCTTCAGTTCTTAGGTGTTAGGAGCTGCAGTAAATGATATTTTCCTTATATTTCCTTAGGGACTTTCTGACTTGTAATAAGTCCTCATCATTCACCCCCTCATTGAAGCTGGGACTGAAATAAGTGGTGCCATATCCTCTCAGACACAAGAGAGCATTTTAAACAAATTGATGAACAGTCATCATTTAAGGAAAATATTAAAAGTACCTGAGACATTTTCATGGGCCATAAGTTCCCTCTGCTACATACGAACCAAGTGCTATGACCAGGTGAATCCTACCTGCAAAGATGTAGGAGTGAGAGAAATGAAACCCCTTTTCTTATTCAGACTCAGCTTTAAAAAACTCCAAGAGCAAACAAAAGCTGCTCATCCATCCTTGCCCAGGAAGAACCTCTCCATGGATAAGCATTCGGCTATTGTGTGCGTTGGTGCATATTAGGGGGAGAATGAGTCCATCTGAATCAGTGGTGCGCTAGTAAATAGTTAACAACTGGTTCACTGGAAAGAAAAAAACCCCTGAGGTATAGCATTTTCTGATTTCTGTGATGTAAATTCCCCTGCCATGGTCAATCTCAAGATGACAACATGATGTCACTCAATGTGATGAAGGAGAGACCATTATATTACATTTCCACCATACAGCTACTATGAACGTAAATAACCTCAAGATCATAGATAATAGTAAAACACAGGAAAATCATTAGAAAATGATGGGTTTCGAGTTATTTCTACTTTTTCATTTAATGTAATTATTTAATTGTAAGTTTATATAATTTAATGTTTCCTGATGGCTGTCTCTCACAGCTGGCTTGCAAAGTTCCTGAAAATTTAACAATCAGCTCCTGTGAGCTGGCATAAGCTTGTTCCGGCACATTATTGCCCTGGAGCCACTCAGTCACATGTCTGTGTCCCTGTTGTTATTGCCACTTCCAGCTTAGAATTTCTGTGTCATAGCTTCCATGGCAACCTCATGATGCATGATGCGTTCTTAAAAAGTGGAAACCAGACATAGACACTGCTAGTGACCCAGCCATATCCACTTTAGAGCTGGTGCTGCCATCCCCCAGCTGCTGTGAGTGCTGCAGCTAATGGGGAAGGGGTCACACCTGTGTCCCTCCCTGAAGCCCTGATCCCACTTCAGGACCTGCCTCTCCCTGAGATGCGTGGAGGTTGCAGTTGCCAGTGATGACTTACAAGGGGCAAAAATCCCTTCCCCTTGCCTCAAGGATGACTATTCTTCGGAGGAGTTACACTCAGAGTATCTGTGAATCAGGCCAAAGTATGATGTGCCTTTACATGGACACATCCTGGCTTGGCAACTTCCTTTATCCTGCTTTTCACATTCCCTTCTTCAGTAAATATGCACCAAATTGAACTCAACATGAGCAAAGACAGTACCAAGGCTGACAAATAGGCCTGCGTTCAGGAGCAGTAAGATAGAAACCTGCAGTCACACAAGGTTGGGCTGGGCTTTGGCACCAGTCAAAAGGGTTTTAGCATTGGTCCGGTTGGCATCAAACACCCTGCTACAGGGCCTTTGGCTGGGATTGCTCTGGGGCCAACTTTTCTCTATTTCCATGCACTTCAACATGGGGTATCAGTGCTATAACAAGGGTTCTAGAACATGAAATATCTTCATGGATCATCATTTTGGCTCAGATTTAATGAGAACATGGGTAGAATGGGGAAAGTTTTGTAATCTAGCTAGAAGGTAATTTTATGTATTTGTATACTGAAATAATAATAGCTAACGCAAGTAGTGATTACCATATGCATGTCTCTAAGAACTTGATAACAGATAAAGCACATTGAATCATTACTACAATGTGATGAGAAAACCTAGGCTAAAGACAGGTTAAATATGTTACCCAAGGTCTCCTAGCTAGCAAACTGAAGAGCTGGATTTGAACCTATGTGGTATGGTTCCAAGTCTGTACTTTTTTTTTTTTTTTTTTTTGAGCTGGAGTCTTGCTCTGCTGCCCAGGCTGGAGTGCGGTGGTGTGATCTCAGTTTGCTGCAACCTCTGCCTCCTGGGTTCAAGCAATTCTTCTGCTTCAGTCTCCTGAGTAGCTTGAATTACATGCATGTGCCACCACACCCAGCTAATTTTTGTAGTTTTAGTAGAGACAGGGTTTCACCATGTTGGCCAGGCTTGTCTCTAACTGCTGACCTCAAGTGATCCATCTGCCTCCGTCTCCCAAAGTGCTGGGATTCCAGGTGTGAGCCATTGCGCCCAGCCTCAGAGTCTGTGCTTTTAACCAAAAACTACCAGGCATACCTCCGAGATACTGCAGGTTTGGCTCCACACCACCACAATAAAGGGAATATTTCAATAAAGCAAGTCACACAAATTTATCAGTTTCCCACTGCCTATAAAAGTCACGTTTATACTATAATGTAGTCTATCAAGTGTGCAATAGCACATCTTTAAAAACAATGTGCATGCCTTAATTTAAAAATACTTTATTGCTAAAAAATGCTAACAATCATCAGAGGCTTCAGCGAGTCGTAATCTTTTTGCTGGTGGAGGGTGTTGCCTCATGTTGATGGCTGCTCACTGATCAGAGTGGTGGTTGCTGAAAGTTGGGATGGCCGTGGCAATTTCTTAAAATAACAATGAAGTTTGCCTTATCAGTTGACTCTTCCTTTTACTAAAGTAGCGTGCAATGCTGTTTGATAGCATTTTACCCACGGTAGAGCTTCTTTCAAAATTGGAGTCAGTCCTCTCAAAAGCTGCCACTGCTTTATCAACTAAGTTTATGTAATATCCGAAATCCTTTATTGTCATTTCAACAATGTTCACAGCATCTTCACCAGGAGTGGATTTCATCTCAAGAAACCACTTTTCACCAGGCGTGATGGCTCACACCTGGAATCCCAGCACTTTGGGAGGTCGAGGTGGGCAGATCACTTGAGGTCAAGGGTTTGAGACCAGCCTGGCCAACATGGTGAAACCCTGTCTCTGTTAAAAATATAAAAATTAGCCAGCTGTGGTGGCAGGTGCCTGTGGTCCCTGCCACTTGGGAGGCTGAGGCATGAGAATTGCTTGAACCCGGGAGGCAAGAGGTTGCGGTGAGCTGAAATTGTGCCACTGCACTCCAGCCTGGGTGACAGAGCTAAAACTCTGTCACAAAACAAAACAAAACATTTTCTTTGCTCATTCATAAGAAGCAGCTCCTCATTCGTTTAAGTTTGATCATGAGATTGCAGCAACGCAGTCATATCTTCAGGCTCCATTTCTAACTCTGGTTCTCTTACTGTTTCCACCACATCTGCAATTACTTCCTCCATTGAAATCTTCAACCCCTCAAAGTCATCGTGAGGGTTGGAACCAACTTCTTCCCTCTTCCCATGAATCATGAGTGTTCTTAATGGCATCTAGAATGGTGAATCCTTTCCAGAATGTTTTCAATTTTCTTTACCCAAATCCATTAGAAGAATCATTATCTTTGGCAGCTATAGCCTTAGAAGACGTATTTCTTAAATAGTAAGACTCAGAAGTCAAAATTACTTCTTGTTCCATGAGCTATTGAATGGATGTTGAGCTAGTAGGCATGAAAACAACATTCATCTCCTTGTACATCTCCATCAGAGCTCTTGGGTGACCAGTTTTATTGTCAATAAACAATAATATTTTGAAAGGATTTTTTTCTCAGCTGTTGGTCTCAACAACGGGCTTAAAATAATCAGTAAACTCCAGCCTGGGCAACACAGTAAGACCTTGTCTCTACAAACAAACAAACAAACAAAATTTGCCAGGTGTTGTGGTGTGTGTCTAGTTCTAGCTACTCAGGAGGCTGAGGTAGGAGGATCACTTGAGCCCAGGAGGTCAAGGCTGAAGTGAGCTGAGATTGTGCCACTGCACTCCAGCCTGGGTAACAGAGTGAGACCCTGTCTCTCTCTCTCTCCCTCTCTCTCTCTCCCCTCCCACCCCCACACAAGCACACACACACACAGGCACACGTATATAATATATTCAGTAAACCATGCTTTAAACAGATATGCTGTCATCCAGGCTTTGCTGTTCCATTGATAGAGCACAGGCAAAGTAGATTTCGCATCATTATTAAGGGTCCTAGGATTTTCAAAGCGGTAAATGAGTGTTGGGTTTAACTTCAAGTCACCAGCTGCCTTAGCTCATAACAAGAGAGTCAGTCTTTGAAGCTTTGAAGCCAAGCATTGACTTTTCCTCTGTAGCTATGAAAGTCCTAGATGGCATCTTCCCAGTATCTGGGAAGTAAAATAAAATGAAGCAGAATAAAATGAGATATGGCTGTTCAGCTGACCCTTGAATAACATGGGTTTGAACTGTGTGAGTCCACTTATATGTGAATTTTCTCTCACCTCTGCCACCCCTGAGACAGCAAGGCCAACCCCTCCTTATCCTCCTCCTCAACCTACTCGACATGAAGAAAACAAGAGAATAAAGGCCTTTACGATGATCCACTTCCACTTAATGAATAGTAAATAAGTATATTTTCTCTTCTTTAAGATTTTCATTTTTTGGGGGGGAGGTGGAGTCTCACTCTTGTCACCCGGGCTGGAGGGCAGTGGCATGATCTCCGCTCACTGTAACCTCCGCCTCCCAGGTTCAAGTGATTCCCCCACCTCAGCCTCTGGAGTAGCTAGGATTACAGGTGCCCGCCACCACACCTGGCTTATTTTTGTATTTTTAGTAGAGATGGGGTTTCACCACGTTGGCCAGGCTGGTCTTGAACTCCTGCCCTCAGGTAATCTGCCCTCCTCAGCTTCCCAAAGTGCTGGGATTATCAGCATGAGCCACCGCACCTGGCCAGATTTTCTTAATAACATTTCCTTTTCTCTAGCTTACTTTATTGTAACAATACAGTACATAATATACATAACATATAATATATATAAAATGTACATATAATATATTAACACATAAAATGTGTGTTAATTGCCTACTTACATTATTGGTAAGGCTTTCGGTCAACGATAGGCTATTAGTAATTGAGTTTTTAGAGAGTCAAAAGATACACAAATGTTTGACTGTGCAGGGGTCCCTAACCCTGCATTGCTCAAGGACCAACTGCATATGTCTTAAGCAAATGTAGATACATTTTAAAGTAGAAAGCAAAGTTTGCATGACTGTTTGGGCTAAAACTTCAGATTTTTAGCTTTTTGTGAATTGCTTCTTTTCCTTGGGGGGTTGGTGGTGAAAAGCCTTTTTCATCCTGCTGGTCTCTATTGATTCTTCTGGGTGGGGAGCAACGTGGGGAAAAAATGGAAGAGGGAGCAAGGATGTCTTAGGAAGAAGAGATGAGGACAGATCCCAGTCTCAGGACATGGCACCTGCATATTCATGAGGTTATTTTTCCTGTCTTCCAGCTCATTAGAGAAGTTGAGAGGGATCAGGCTGTGGCACCTGAGGGAGCCCACAGGGTAATAATGCCTATCTCACCACCTGGGCTGTGGTTGCTCTGGAAAAACACTTCATCAATGATAATGCTGTGTCTGTGCCATGCAGGGATCAGCTGGGACAACCAAGGGAAGGGACCAGCGGGCAGGAAAGCCCCCAGAATTATGGGGATCGGGGCAAGGATCACAGTGAAAGTGAAATCACGACTAAGGTTGACTTCCCTTGGTGAAAAGAAGGGGTTTAGGTGAAAATGTGAAGGGAGGAGAGCCTTTTTCTATGTTATAGGCAATTAAAATTATGCTTATAAAGAAATAGGGGCGGGGAACTCACAAAGCATAAGTGAATGTACTCTCCTGCTCTACATTCTATTTTTTAAATTTTCTTGAAGGTTGTTATTTTAGTTTGCTGGTAATAAAATATTTTTCTAAGGAAAATGGAGACATAGGAGACATAGACAAAAGTTTTGGCTTTTACCCAAAGCTAGTCAGAGCAGAACCCTCTGTGCTCCCTCTGAAAATGTCCTTTCCTGAAGTTTGCATATCACAAAGCACTTACAGACACTAGGTTATAATTAGTCTTCATGAGCTATAGAGTCGGCAGGGCAGGTATTAGTTTATAGGGAGGAAGCTGAAGTCTGGAGATGAGAAGGGACTTGCTGGAGATCTCACTGTGATCAGGCAGCTCCTCCACTGAGTGGGGAGTGGGGGGTTAAGGGTGAGTTATTTATATAGGAACTCATAAAATCATTGCTAATATACAATGTCCAAGTCACATTTTAGTTCCATAATTGGACTTCTTGTTGGAAAGTGGCCTGGAAGCCAGAAATAGACACGGAACTCTGTGACCCGGTGCAGATGGAACACTCACATAGCTGCACTGTCTCCCCCTGGCCCCAGTCGTGGGGATGAAGAGACTGGCTGCCATGGCACACTGATCTGCAGAGGGATTCAGCGGGTCATTGAGGCACTTGAGATGGTGGAGCGCCTGGAGGAATAAGAATGACACGAAAAGGCCTGGCATTCAGGGTCCATCTGGGGTCTGTTTTAGGGAGGAAAATGGGACTGCCCCATTTGGGAGTTTGGGAGGTCCCCAAGACCGCCTACAGTTTCAGTGATTTACTAGAAGGACCTGGAGAACTCAGAAAAACCATTACACACATAAGGCTGGGCCAGGAGAGAACAGGTGTGAGTGTCCAGTTGTCCTTTCCCAGGAAAGGCTTGTGGACAGTGCCTACTTCTCTCAGCAGTGATATGGGGCAACACACGGAGAGTACTGCCAGCTAGAGGGGCTCACCCAAGCCTTGGGGTCCAGGGCTTTTTACTGGGAGTTAATCATGTAGGTGTGACTGATCGCACACATCTTAGTCTCCAGCCCCTCCAGAAACCAAACTGACAGTGGGTGGTTTAACACCTTCTTCCTGCCCCCAATTCCATATACTGCATTGTTAGCATTCAAACTACCCGGCATGGCCATAGACCTGCAGGTAAACAAACACACCCTTATCAGGCAGGATATTCTATGGGCTTAGGGGTTACCTCCCAGCATCTGGGCAAGGATCAAACCTTTCTGTGGGGAAGGTCATTCTCTACTGCACAGGGACCAAATCAAGTCACTATGGTGCCTAGGACTGGAGGGATTCCTAATCTCTCTTCTCTGTGGACCTTTGGTCTCTGGTGCCAGGCCCTGCCTGCAGAGGGAACCTTCCTTGAATCTGGTCCATGCTCAGTCTCAGGGGTCGAACTAGACCTTAGTAGGGAAAGACTTAGCTCTCTAGAGTGCAACTCAGATCCAGGCAGCCTTGATACTGAGCAGGCCCAGTCTCATACTTGAGGCCCAGTCCCTGCTTTAATCTCAGGCAGGTAACTTGTCGTCTGTACTGTCCCCACTGACTGAGCTCTTGCCTTGGCAGCTTCTCAGACTGAGTCCTTGCTTGCCTTTACCTGTCCTCTTCTCTGGGACCGAAGGCCTGTCCTGAGCCCCTTGTCTAGGGTTGCACCTTGCTGCCTACCTCTCACCCTGGATTCTCCATGTCTTCATGCCTGGATTTCCCATTGCTGAGTTGCACATAGCTGCTGGGGAAATTGTTCCCTCCTGTCAGACCCCAACCTGACTTGTGCACTGACTGCTGGACAGAGGCTCAGAGTCACTGCCCAGCACCTGCAGAGGGGTCTGCCCTGGCTTTGTGGGGTCAGTACAGTTCCAGTTGTTTCTTTGGCCCTTTGCCAAAGTTGGTGAGACCATCTCCAAGCTTATGGCATGATGCTATAGAAGATTCACCAGCCAAATTTAGTCCAGTGCTCTGTAGCAATAGAAGATAAAGGGCTGTAGCCTGGCTGACCTACATAGAGCTGAAGCTCTTACACGTGTATCTCAGTTATCATTCAGAGGCTCTTTCTGGAAGTTCTGCCTTATACCATGGCCATGAACTTCAAAGCTCTGGAATTCCTCCTGAACCAAAAGGAACTTAAAAAATACAGATACACAATCCCTTATCTGAAATCCTTGAGCCAGATGTATTTTAGAATTCATAATTTTTCAGATTTTAGAAAGATTATTTGGTTCAGATACTATTCGTTATGTCACAACTCCAGTGAGGTCTGAGGCATAATTTTGTAAATCAAACACATTAATATGTATGCAGTAAAAGGTATGAATATTCACACTAAGTGACATGAATAAAGCTATAATTCATTTCCTTAACTTATGTCAGTTCAGCTCAGGTTTTCGCACCAAATATTTTCAGGTTTAATCAGATGTTGCTACCACATAAGTTATTATAAAAAAAATCTGTTTACAAAACTTTTTGAGTAGGTTAAATATTTTCCATGTATTCTTTACTTCATTGTTCTTCATAAACATCTTGAGAACAGGAGTTGCATCTCATTCATCTTTTTATTTACAATGCCTGCCCTAACTCCTGGCATATACTAGACACTTAATAAATGATGAATGAGTGGGTGGATTATTCTTTAGTTTATGGTATTAGCTCCTCATAGGTAACAAAGAGGAGTAAGCCTTTCTTGGAATGACTCATCCAGGTCCTTGTTGGTCACCATGGAAAAGGTTGTACAAGGTCTCCAACTTTCCCCTCAAATCCATGAAGGCACAATAATCTACAAGGCACTTGATTCCCCTCCTAATCCATTTTACCTCTTTGAGAAGCTGGCAGGAGCCAAAAGCAGGAAACTGACAGAGAGGTCATAGGGCAGTCACATGGGGAAGCAGCAGGGTGTGCGGGGAAGAGTATGGGTTGGGAGCTGGAAGGCCTGGGCTCTGGGCACAGGCTGGTCATCCCCTGGGAGTATGGCTGGTGCTACATCTTAGCCTCAGTTTCCTCACCTTCTAGAAAAGAGATCCCCAAACTTGTCAATCATCAGAATCACCCGGGAGCTTTAAAAATATATAGATTCTGATTCTGTAGGTCTAGGGTGGAGTCCAGAAAACTGTAGGTTTCAAAAGCTCCTCAGCCAGATGCTGTGACTCACACCTGTAATCCCAGCACTTTGGGAAGCCAAGGCAGGTGGATCACTTGAACCCAGGAGTTTGAGACCAGCCTGGGCAACATAGTAAGACCCCTACTTCTACAAAAATTTAAAAGTTATATAAATGTTATGGCCAAGTAGTTGGGACCTGTAGTCCCAGCAACTTGGGAGGCTGAGGCAGGGTGATTGCTTGCGTCCAGGAGTTCAAGGCTGCAGTGAACCATGATCATGCCACTGCACTCCAGCCTAGGCAACAGAGTGAGACCCTGTCTCTCAAAAAGAAAAAAAAAAAAAGACAACTGATTTAATAATAATACCACAGAAGAGGGAGGAGAGGGAATAGAACTATATATAAGAAACATTTCTATGTATCACTGGAATTAAGCTAGTGTAAACCTAAAGCTAATTCTGATGACTTAAGATGTGTATGAGTCAGACGTGGTGGCTCACGCCTGTAATCCCAGCACTTTGGGAGGCTGAGGCGGGCAGATCAAGAGGTCGGAGATCGAGACCATCCTGGCTAATATGGTGAAACCCCGTATCTACTAAAAATACAAAAAATTAGCCAGGCGTGGTGGCGGGTGCCTGTAGTCCCAGCTACTCGGGAGGCTGAGGCAGGAGAATCGCTTGAACCCAGGAGGCAGAGATTGCAGTGAGCTGAAATCGTACCACTGCACTCCAGCGTGGTGACAGAAGTGAGACTCCATCTCAAAAAAAAAAAAAAAAAAAAAGAACACTAACAACACTAACACTAACAATAGCTAATGAGCTAAAAAAAATTGCAAAAAAAAAAATCTCATAATGTTTTAAGAAAGTTTATGAATTTGTGTAGGGCCACATTCAAAACCGTCCTGGGCTGTATGTGGCCTGGGGGTCGCAGGTTGGACAAACTTGGTATAAGCATTCCTCTTTCTCTGCAACCTTGCCAGCAACTTTTTAATGTATCCATTCTGACTGGTGTGAGATGGTATCTCATTGTGGCTTTGACTTACATTTCTCTAATGATCAAGTATGTTGAGCTTTTTTCATATGCTTGTTGGCAGCATGTATGTCTTCTTTTGAAAAGTGAAAAAGTGTCTGTTCATGTTTTGCCCACTTTGTAATGGGGCAACAAAAAAGACATGAGACATAGGAAACAAAAAGTAAAATGGCAGATGTAAATCCAACCATATCAATATATATGAATAGATTAAACAATTCAATCAAAAGACAGATTATCTGGGAAAAAAACACATCATCTAACTCTATATGCTGTCTACAGTAGACTTGCTTTTTTTTTTTTTTTTTTTTTACTTTTATTTTAAGTTCAGGGCTACATGGGCATGACCTAGAGAATCCCTTTACACAATGAGAGCATCTATAAGGAACTTGTATATAGATGCTGGATATTAGACAAAGGTCAAATTTAACTTCCTAATAGACACTGGATATTAGATCTTTGATGCATAGTTTGCAAAAATTTTCTCCCATTCTGTAGGTTGTCTGTTTAATTTGTTGATAGTTTCTTTTGCTGCGCTGAAGTACTTTAGTTTAATTAGATCCCATTTGTCAATTTTTGCTTTTGTTGCAATTGCGTTTGGTGTCTTCATCATGAAATCTTTTCCTGTTCCTAGAGACAGAGGTTATCTGACATGCTTTTTATTTAAAGATACAAATAGAAAGTAGAAAAGTGGAAAAAATATATATTATGCAAACAGCAACCACAAGAAAGCTGGGGCAGCTATACTGATTGATATAAAACAAAACACTTCAAAATAAAAAATGTCCCTAGAGACAAACAAAGGCATTTTATAATGACAAAAAGTTCAATTCATCAGAAAGATGTAAAAATTATAAACATATATGCACCTAATATCAGAGCACCAAAATACATGAAGCAAAACCTGACAGAAATTAAATAGACAATTCAACAGTAATAGTTGGAGACTTCAACATCCCACTTTCAAAAATAGACAGAACCACTGGACAGAAGATCAACAAGGAAATAGAAAACTGTAACAACACTGTAAACCAACTGAACCTAACAGCCATCTATGAAACACTCTATCCAACAACAGAATATATATCCTTCTCAAGTGCACATGGAACATCAGGGATAGGCCATATGCTAGGCCATAAAACAAGCCTTAATTGCACTCTTGGACATTTATGTCTAAGAAATAAAAACTTACGTTCACACCAAAACCTGTACACCAAGTGTTCATGGCAGCTTTATTTGTAATAGGTGAAAATTCAAAATAGCCCAGATGTCCTTCAACAGGTAGATGATTAAACAAACTATTTTTATCATGATTATTCTAAGTATCATTATTGTCATTATTATTATTGAAAAACACTTGAAAATCTCACCACTCAGAGAAGACTGATGCTGTCATTCTGGGAAGCATCCCACTACCATCTCACATGCATGTACACACAAATGGTTATATGTACACCTCCAGCAGTTCTCTATCCTTTTCCCTTCCTGAAATGATTCTCAAATGTAACCATATCTCCCAAAGGGGCATATCACACTTTCCTGGGGTGAGTGGTTGGGGAAGACTGTGGTTTATAAAATCTCTCCAGGTGATTCTGAATGATGACTCCATTCTTCAGAGAGGCACCCCACCTTCACCCCAGTACCTAGAGAATCCCTGGGCACTTTACACAGATGGGAGCATACTACACATAGGATTTTGTAAACTGCTTTTCACATTCTACATCATCCTACCTACTGGCTGCATAGTATTACATTTTTGGTTTTGGTGTACACAAGATTTAAAACTAATTCCATGTAGATATTATTTAGCTCTTTCTGTCAAAAAAATATCAAATGTTGTGGTGACCAACTTTGTATGGATAAAATTAGCACTTTATATATTCCTTTTAGTGGAATTTCTGGATCAGTGGGTTTGAACATTTTAAAATTTTAAAATAAAATTCATATGCTCTCTAGGAAGATTACGGATTTCTTTTTTATCAACACTCCTGCAACAAACAGTGCATCAGGTATTGTTTAGACTAGAGTATTCCCAACACCCTTTAGCCTTTATTTATTTTGAGACAGGGTCTTGCTCTGTCACCCAGGCTAGAGTGCAGTGGTATGATTACAGCTCACTGCAACCTCAACCTCCTGGGCTCAAGGGATCCTCGTGCCTCAGCCTCTTAAGAAGCTGGAACCACAGATGTGCACCACAACACCCAGCTAATTTTTTGTTTTTTATTTGTAGAGACAAGATCTCGCTATGTTGTCAGGCTGGTCTCAAACTCCTGGACTCAAGGAATCTCCCTGCCTCAGCCTCCCAAAGTGCTGGGATTACAGGTGTGAGCCACCATGCCTGGCCCTCCTTAACTTTTAAAATTAAGTTCCAAAGGTCTTTGACAAAATAC
Organism: Homo sapiens; assembly: GCF_000001405.40. NCBI lineage: Eukaryota > Metazoa > Chordata > Mammalia > Primates > Hominidae > Homo > Homo sapiens. Next base: position 204,808,390 of record NC_000001.11, on the reverse strand, counting down.
CGCCCTTTGGCTTTTGATCTCAAGCAAAACGCTAACGCTACTCATTTACTTGTTAGGTTACCGGAACTGCCCAGAGCCTATTTTCTCCTTTTTCCTTCCAACTATCAAGGCCATTTGCTTCTCTTTGCTGCCGCCTTGTGCTAGAACAGGAGAAGTTCATTATAAGAGAAACAGCAATTGACAACCCCTTACTTCCAGGGCACAAAGGGGCCTGCAGTCAGATCCTGACAGTCTGCCCTATATAGATCTGGGCCACAGAGAGAGACAGAGCTCTGTGCTTCAGTGCAAAAGGAACTTGGTACAGAGCCCAGAGGAGGCCTTGAAGTGATGAGACTGGGCATCAGAGACCTGGATTCTAGATCCTAGATCTGAATCTGCCCCTAATTTGCTATTGGGCAAATTTGTTCTTTGTCCTCTGTTTCTTCTCAGTGAACTGAGGGCTAGATTATTGTTTTGTAAACTGTAGGTGGTGACCCATTAATGAACTGTGAATTCAGTTATTAAGTTGTGGCAAGTTTTTTTTTTTTTTTTAGAATCAAAAGTAATGGAAGTGTCAAAATACGCTATGCATACTAAGGGTAAGTATTGCTTCCTGAGTTCTTTCAACGCAGGGGTGTCCTGGACTGTTGCGTTGTAAAATGCACTGCTTACTGATGGGCTTGGTCAGTACCGTTTGAAGGCCACAGGCTCAGGGGAGCTCCAGGGTCCTCCCAGCTGGAGCTTTTAGTTGTTAGTTGGACTATTCACCATTCGTGGTCAGAAGGCCCCACCAAGTGGAGGAAGGTCTGGTGCTGTGCTGCTGAGGTCTTTTCTTTCCCTCCTCTTCTTACCTGCTCTACAGTGACAGGAAGCCCCAGGCTGTAATGCAGGTGACTGGTGAGAGTTTCCCAGTGAGCCCCAAAGCAAAAACAACACACAACAAACTACAGTTCTTGAGTCGGAATTCTCCCAGCAGGGGGCTGGCAGTGCAGGTGCAGGTGCCACTGACCCAGCAGAGGCACTAGGTGGCGCCACAGTGCCGGGCTCATCACTTCGCCGCGGCACTGCAGAGGGCAGTGGGAAACCACGATTCTGGGATGGACAAGGGGCAGCGGGGCTTGAGGTCCTGGGTACTCTGACCCGGCCGTCCTTGGGTTCCAAAAGTCTGGAGTGGAGGGGGAAGATTGTTTAACCTGCTCAGGGGTCTCTGATCCTGGAGCGGAGCTGGTGGACTTTGCGGTGGATCTAGCTCCCGGACAGCCGCAGATGGCAGAAGCTGCCATTAGGGGGCAGCAGAACACTGGTGTTGGGAGAGCGGGACCGGGCTTCAAGGGGAGGAACGCGGGTAACGGGGTCAAAGGCCTCAGGGGCACGGAGCCTCCAGAACAGAGCAGCCTCGCTTGCTCTCTCCGAGGGCTCCAAGAGGAGGACAGAGTCCAGCTTCCAAAACAGGAACCCTTCCAGTGGTGTCCTGGAGCTGGCTTATACCAGACCTGATGGTTAAATTTTCACAAAATTTGTTTAAAGCCATCGTTTAAGACTTACAATTCTTTGAGTTCCGTGTGTGTCCTGGATATTAACCCCTTGTCAGATGCGAAGTATATGAATGTTTTCTCCCATTCTGTAGGTCGTCACTTCACTCTGCTGATCATTTCCTTTGTTGTGCAGAAGCTTGTTAGTTTAATGGAATCCTATTTGCCTGTTTTTGCTTTTGTTGCGTGTGCTTTTTTGGTCTTATTCAAAAAATCCTTGCCCAGACCAATGTCATGAAGGGGTTCCCCAATTTTCTTCCAGTAGTTTCACAGTTTCGGGCCTTACATTGGTTTTTAATCCGTCTCTATTTGATTTTTGGACATGGTGAGAGATAGGGAGTCTGGTTTCATTTTTCTGCATATGAATATCCAGTTTTCTCAGCACCCTTTATTGGATAGATTGGCCTTTGCCCAATGTGTGTTCTTGATGCCTTTGTTGGAAATCAGTTGGCTGTAAGAGCATAGATTTATTCTTGGTCTCTCTATTCTGTTCTGTTGTTTTGTGTGTCTGTTTTTCTGCGAGTAAGTACCATGCTGTTTTGATTGCTATTGCTTTGTAGTGCATTTTACGTTTGTAGTATAGTCAGATAGTGTGATGCTTCCAGCCTTATTCCCCTTTTATTTTAAACAGGTGGGGTCTCACTCTTGCTCAGGTTGGAGCACAGTGGCACAATCATAAGTCACTGAAAAACTCCTGGGCTCAGGTGATCCTCCTACCTCAGTCTCCTGAGTAGCTGGGACTACAGGCATGTGCCACCACTCCTGGCTAATTTATTTTTTATTTTTTTTTAGAGATGGGGGTCTTAATGTTGCCTAGGCTGACCTCAAACTCCTAGCCTCAAGTGATCCTCCCTAAATGCTGAGATTACAGTCATGAGTTACCACACTTAATGAATTATAGTAAGTCCATGTGATAGAGTAACTATTAACACAGTGAAAAAGAATGAGATGACTTTCATAAAATGGTAAGGATGAAATCCAAGATAGATTGTAACTTAAAAAAGCAGAATCATTCCTAAAATTGAAACTACTTCTAAATATGTGCAACTACTATGTATCCATAATAATTAAAAATAAATTTAGGATTAAATAAAAAATTTAAACAAGCAAAAGTCAAAAAGAAAAACTAGTACTAGATCACTAATCAAATATTTTAAAATAAAATTGAACCTATACAAGTATCAAAAGAAAATCTGGGAGCATATTTTTATAATCTTGAAGTGTGCACAATCTAAGTATGGTTCAAGCCCTGAAGTCATAAAAGAAAAAACTGATAAGCTCAGATCATACATTTCTACTATGGTAGCAAAAACCACCATAAAAAAGTAAAAGCATGAATGACAGAGTGAGAAAATATTTGCAACATCATGAACAAATGGTTCCTTTAATGAGTAAAAGCTCCTACCAATCAGTAAGGAAAAGATCAACAAGCTGGGTGTTGTGGCACATACTTGTAGTCCAAGCTACTGGGGAGGCCAAGATGGGAGGATTGCTTGAGGCCAAGTGCTAGAGGCCACAGTGTCCTATGACTGCACTTGTGAATAGCCACTGCACTCCAGTCTGAGCAACATAGCAAGACCCCATCTCTTTAAAAAAACCAACAAGATATAGAACACTATGTGTAGTATGTGGCTATTTGCATTAAAATATAAGCTTTTATATCCCTAGAAATATCTGGAAAGATAACCCATGAGACAGGTACCAGCTTAACATGAGAAGGGAACTGTGGGCCAAGAGTCAGGCTGGGAGGGAGCTTAGATTTTCAATCAATACTAGTTTTACACTGTTTTAATTCTTTATGGTGTGCATGCATTAACTTCAAACTCTTCAAAAAAATTCATTGACAGGGAGGCAAGTCTCTAGGCACAGACCAAGCACCCACATTCCCATCTCTTCAGTGACCCATGTATCTTTGGATCTGCCCTGCTGCTTCTGCATTTCTCTCCCTAATTAAATACTTTCTTTTCTTCAAGGCTCATTCAAGCTTCTGACTCCTTCTCTCAAGCCCATAGAGGTGGCCTCTCCCTGCTGTCAACATGTAACTTGTGGAATGTTCCTTCCCTCCCTCCCTCCCTCCTTCCCTCCCTTCCTTCCTTCCTTCTTTCCCTTTCTTTTTCTTTCTGTTTTTTCCTTTTCTTTCTTCCTGCTTCCTGCCTTTTTTCCTTTTTCTTCCTTCCTTTCTTCTTTTCTATTTATGCTGCTCTGTGCGTTTGTTGCTTGTCTACATCTACCATGAGAATTGTGTTGTACTTCTTTCTATCACCAAGAATGCCATCTGCCTTTGGTAAAGAGTCATTCCTGTCTTCCCTGACCTCCCAGAACACTCATGGTCACACCACACAATGCATTCTGTAATTATACCCTGGCAAATTTCCCATCAAAGCACTAGGAGTCTCACCCCAGCTACACCGGGAGCTCCTAGAAGGTAGGGGCCTGGATTTTGCTCATCTCTGTGGTGGCTCAGTGCTGAGAGCAGAGTGGGAACCCCAGAGAGATATCTTGAGTTCCCAGGTGATGGATGGAAGGTCACTCAACACAGAAAAACATCACTACTGCTTTTATTGGTCACCCAGTGGATACTAACACTTGGTCCTGGAGGTCTAGTTGCTTTCTATGCCACAAGACCATGGTCCTCTCCCACTGTGGAAATAACACACAGGCAGAGGGAGTGGCCTGTAGCTGGTCGTGTGCCCAGGAGTTCAGAACCCCGCACCTTCTTCCATCATTGCAGCCCCAGTTCCTCAGCTTCATCCTACCAGCCCCCTGGAAAATGTAAAAATGTAGGCAGGTCTCTTCTTTCTTACCGCACTTTAATCCCACCCCTACCTTAACCATGAATATGTGTACACTGAGGCTTAAATTTTCCTTTGTGAACTTCTCAAGTTCAGGGAAACTTTCACTATATATTTATGAATAGTTATGTGTTGAACCCTGGCAGCACTCTGAGTTCAAAGATAGACAAACAGTGTGCAGATGCTGCTCTTAAAGAGCTTACAGTCTTTTGGAGAAAACAGTCACATGAACAAAATTAATGCAATGTTGTTAGCAGTGATCGATCGGGAGCTGACCAGGGTGCTAGGAGAACAGAGGGTGGGGGAATTGCACTGGTTTTGTGGGTGGGGGGATGAGGGACTTTCTGGAGGAGATGGTTCTCTGGCTCAGGTTTAAAGGTGAATGAGAGCCTGGGGCTCCCAGTCCAGCTCACACAGCTAGTCTTTTTCAGCCTGGATACTCTGCTCTCTCCCTTTTCTCAGCCTAGCTGTCCAAGGTCGGAGAAAGGAGACCGGTTTCATCAAAGGTGCAAAAGGAATGAGTTTAGATCCTGGTAAAATAGATGTGCAGAGTGTAAGACCCTGAAGGGAGAGGTAGCAGTTCAGCGTGCAGGTTTGGAGAGGATTGGAAGTGGGGCTCTGGGGTGACTAAATCCTGCCTCATCAAGAGTCCAGCTGGAAGCCATTCTCCTCCCTTCCAGGGAGCACTCTCCTCTCCAGTTCCCTCTCCAGATCAGGCTGGGCACAGGCTCCAATGGCCAGGCTAGCCCGAGCTCTACCCTGCTGATGCTCCCCAGAAAAGATCCCACTGGGCAGGAGCACCCTCATGCCCAAGCCTGATTGCTCTCCAGGGAGTCCAGCTCTCTCACTCCTTTGCCCACCACTCCTCACCCCCAGCCCCACCCCCAAGTCTAGAGGATGATACAGCCACATGGTGGGCACTGACCAGCCAGCCATGGGAGGAACTGACCCTATGTGTGGATGAACCCTGAGCTACACTATTTGAAGTCTTTGTAATATTTGCAGTTCCTGGTGTGTGGGCTATGTGCTGGGGTGACTTTACCAGGGGCCCTTTTGAGGGTTAGAGGCAGTCATCTAAGACTTCCTTCCGGCAATCAGCTCTGGAGGAAATCTAGAAGCCAGTGAGGGTGAGTGTAAGTGCCCTTTGCTCTACCCTCTCAAAGGGCTCCGCCTCAAGGAGGCCAGGGTGAGAAGCACTTTAGACCCTCTGACCGGGGATCCATCCTCCTGAGGCCTGGTCCTGCAGAGCCCAGGAGGGGCTTCTTGAGTGAAAGCTTCCGAAGGCTGGCTGATTCTCAGTGCTCAGAGCCCACAGTGGCAGCTGCCAGCTAACCTTCCTTGCAAATTCAGACACTTGGGCTGCCGCAGTGAAGGGCAGGCTTCCAGAACACTCAGAGAAGCCAAGAGGAGCATCTCTGAGCCTGCATCTGCCGCTACCCCATCCAGAACCCCTCCCCAGATAAAGGGCTTCTCGTGCAAAAATCTCCCATCTGAAGCTCTGGGAATCCTATAAGCCGACTGCATTAGCTACATGTCATAAATATTTATGCTCCTACTGACGTGTGTCAGAGTATATGTGAGTATGCAGGGGAAGGCCTGCTGATGGACACAGAGAAAGGAAGAACTTTCTAACCCTGAGTGCTGTCTGGGTCTCCAAGATGTAGCCAACTTCAACCTCTAGACTTAATCAAGCACAGACAAGGTGGCCACCATCAGGGATACTGTAAAAGGAGTTCTTAATAGGGTGGGAAGAAGAAATCTACAACCCCTTCAGCCCACCCCAATGCCCAGATTCTGTGACTCTGTGACTCGGTGGGATGTAAATGTCACCATGGATTATAGTTAACTAAACATGAAGACCCAGAACTCAAGCTCTACGTACCCAGCACCAAGCAGATGCTTTCATAGATGCCATCTCATTCTGCCCTCCACAATGTCCAGGGGTTAATACCACCCATTTCCTCAACTCCCACAGGAGGAGAATGAGGCTTAGAATAGTGACCTGCCTTATCTGTAGTTCCAGAGCCATAAGCAGCAGAACTGGGATTCAAATTCAAGTTCTTGGCTCCAAGACCAACTCTCTTTTCTTTATGAGGCAACTGCCTGTCCAATCAACCCACATACCACAAACATTGTCAATGTCACAAATGCTGTCTGCAGGGACATCTCGCTCACCCTGGCCACCTGCTGCAGAGTGTTTTGAAGATGCATGAGAGGCACTGTGCCGTGTGTGGACAGTACGGGGGCCTGGAAGGAACCTCACCAGATCTGACACCCTGATTGGGAGCACGGGTTCTGGAGAGTACCAAGGCTGGGACTCCGTGCTCATCTGCAGGGGTCAGCAGGTGACCTAGAGCACAGTCCCCAAACATGGCCCAGGGAGGAGGCCAGGCTCAATCCTCTCTGTGTCTCCAGAGTAGGATAGCCCAGAGGCAGCACTAAGGAGAAGCTTGGGGGTGCTTTAGAGCCCCATAATCTCCATCAATCCCTTCAAAGCCCCCCACCCCAATAAGCATAATTCAGTGGTGTGCCAGAGCTGATTGTGTGCATCTGTTCTCAATGCTGCTTTCAGATTTCACATTGGTAGCATGAAATTGGCCATGAAGGGAGCCTCCACACTAAGGAAACTGGCACACACTACAAATCATTCTCCCCATCCCCCAGCAGGTTGCTCAACATTTACCAGCACACCACTGTATATGAGAACAAAGTGCTTGCTATGCAATAAAGCTTTAAGAAAAGATCCCTAGCCCCCTCCAAGGATCGTCCTTAAGTACCTTCTATAGAGAACTCTGAACCCACTGGTACATGTTACTTGCTGTCATAGAACCCTGTGCTTTTTGTTCAAAGTTATATATATATATGTCTTATTTTTAAAACAAGGTTTATGTTTACAAAAAATACATATTTAAATTACATCCATATAAATATTTTTATAATTCTTGAAATCTGAAGCCCGCCTCCTTGCTAGACTGCAGGCACCATGCAGGCAGAACTGTACCTGTCTTGCTCACTGGCATAGCCCCAGCACCCAGCTATTAGGTGTTCAAGAAATACTTGTTGAATGAATGCATGAATGTCCAGCTCCTGTTCTACCACTGCCATCATCCATTGAGCATCGTGCAGTGCAGTGAATGTTTGTGTCTCTCATAAAGTGAATGAAGAAATCCTAACCCCCAATGTAAGGGTATCAGGAGGTGGGGTCTTCGGCAGGTGATTGGGTCATGAGGGCAGAGTCCTCATGGATGGGATTAGCCCTTATGTAAGAGACCCTGGAAAGCTCCCTCACCACTTCCACCAAGTGAGGTTAAAGTAGGAAGATGGCCATCTGTGAACCAGAAGCAGGCCTCCCCAGACATCAAATCCACCACCACCTTCATCCTGGACTTCCCAGCCTGCAGAAGAGTGAGAACTACATTTCTGTGGTTGAGAAGCCACCAGATCTATGGTAGGTTGTTATAGTAGCCTGAATGGAGTAATGCAGCCCAGTACCACAAAACCAGAAGGGCTTGGTTTAGATTTTGACTTTGTACCTTTGTCTTTTGACCTTGAATAGTTTGCTGAACTGCTCAGAGCTTCTACATCCCCTGCTATCTACCTGCTCTGCCTTCCCCCATAGGTCTGCTCTCAGGAGCAGGCGAGAGCCTGTATGTGAAGCGCCTCAATTAGTGTGCAGCACATAGTAGGTGCTTGACATGCAGGGACTAAACAGGAATCTACCTTACATCCTCTCCCACCTCTCTCCAGAGCTGAGCCTGACCTGGCCAGACTAGTCACTTCCATTTACCCTGCCCTGACTGTGCCCTCTCCTTTCCACCTCTTCACTGATCCAACTTCCCACATTCTTCAGGATTCCACCTTTTCCTCAATGCCTTCTCTAATAACTTCTGTCCTCACTGATCTCTTCCTTCTGCAAGGCTAAATAATATTTTTTAGATTACTGTACAAGCCCTTCCTGATGGTAGTAGGAGGGTCTTGATGTGTAGTCCATAAGCCTCAAAGGCAGAGACCAGTCTTCTGGTTCCTCCCTCTTCTAGTGCCAAGAAGTCTCTTCTAGTCCCAAGCCCAGAGCCAGGCACAGAGCAGGCAGTTCATAACACCAGTGGACAGAAGCAAACAGAGGCACTGGGGTCTCCCAAGGGTTCTTTGTATGGGACCCTTACTCTGCCAGGCATTGGGCCAGGGCAGAGCTATGAGCTCCGAGGCTGGAGGAGACAGACAATAAGTTGCAATTATAGCGCCAGATGATAAGGCCATGATAAAGCATGCACTGGGTTCTTGAGAGCAAAAGGGAAGTTGATAACTAAGTCTGTATTGGAGAGGGGGGTTAAGATATGGATGGAAGAGAAAAAATGAAGAAAGGAAGAGATAGAGAGGTGGGAGAAGGAGGGAATCTCCCATCCTAGCCTAGAAAAGAAGTTAGGTGGAAAGAAAAGAGCATTTTCTCACCTTTGGGCTCTTGCAGACTCAAAAGGAGAAAGTAGCCTTGTCCCTGATTGATGGGTTAGCAAAATTCACCTGCTACAGCCACAGCCCAGGCGGATGCAAGGCTGATAGGAGATTGCTTAGACCCTGGGCCAGTGCCCCTGTTGTCCTTCTCTCTCTTCACTAGAAGATGTCAGGAGAAGATGTCCGCAGGACCTGACCATCTGTCTGCGCAGCATTAGTTGGGGTGGGCCTTAGCCAGAAGGCTACGTGCCAAAGGGCAGGCCCTCAGGGGTGTTGCTCTCCTGAAGGGGCCCCCATCTCTTAAACTGACTGGCTCGAAGGCACTTGAGAGCCTAGAGAGTCCTGATAGATTAGATGCTGAAAAGCAGCAGCTCCCATTTTAACTTTACCATTTCCCATGGGACCAAGGAGTCAGATTAGGGACCAGATCCTGCAGCAGGGTGGAGCTGCGGTTGGGGAACAGAGTGTTGTCTCTGTACAGTGAGATGCATATGATATAATGGGAAGCTCTCTGGGTTTAGAGCCCAATGTCCTGGGTTCAAATCCTTGCTCTTCCATTTGCTGGCTGTGTGACCCTGGGAAAGTCACTTTCCTCTCTAAGATCAGTGTCTTTATCCATGAAGGGCTGTATGATTACCCAACTCACCAAGGAGTTGTGGGGTTAAGTGAGATGCTGTCTATTAAGGTGCCTGGCACAATGAAAGGAGTGGTTGGCAGGGGACTCACCAAATGTTTGCTTACTCATTCCCAGCATGGATCACTGCTCACTGCTGGTGGCCCAGTTACCCATTCTTCAATCTCTACTGGCTTTCTAAAATGAGGTTGCTGGGGTCCAGCCCTGAAGGTCTATCAGAGCAGAAGACATGCCTGCAAGTCTGAGATGGCTGGATGCAACACTGCCTCAAGGCAGGGGAGACCATTTGCCTCTGGCAGGCCCTGCTGGCTGGTAGCATCCAGAAAGCTTTGTGTATATGGTTGCCTAAGTTGCTTGGGCCTGCCAGCTGGCACCGGCAAGGCCACACTGGGCGTGCTGAGGGGACCAGGGACTGCCTTCCCTGCACCCTTGCAGCTTCCTAGCCTGCAGTACCTGGACCTAGAAGAACAGATAGAGCCCTGAGAGAAAGGAGTGGTTGGCATGGCAGGGGTGAGGGAGTCAGGGATACACAGAGGACCCAGAGGAACTTGCCCTACCTCTGTACCCCAGAAGGTAAGCAGGGGCCTTAGCTCCGACAGCAAACAGCAGGACCTGGAAATCTCAGCCTTCTCTCACCCTCACCAGGGCTCCTTCTGGAATGTTTAGGATGTATACAACTGGCACACAATGCCTGCTTCTGCTGCCCCCAACACAGGATTTGGGCACAACTCAGACCAGGAAATTCTCATTCCAAATACAAGAAATCTGCAAATCGGTTTTCTAGTGCAGTCACTCACCTTGGAAACAAGGAAAATGAAAACCAAAGACGCCAAGGGGCTTGCTCAAGGGTGCAGAGCTGGCTGGTGGCAGAGCCATGAAAGTCAGGGCTATGGCCTGCTGCCTGCTGCCCTGGGCCCATCACCTCTGCATGCTGCCCAGCTGGCCTCTGAGCAGCCCTCACTCAGGCCGTACACTCTTCAGGCATGGAGCTGAGGCAGGCACAGTGACACTGTCCAGCGAGAAGCGAGGCAGACTCAGGCGCTACTCTGTGCTGTCTAGAAGGTGAGGGGACAGTGAACAGGGAGGTTTATTTTCTTTATCTGTGTAGCCAAAGCACCTAAAACAGTGTCTAAACACACAGGAGGCATTCAATGAACATTTGATAAACAAATGAATGAATGTGTATCATCTAAGATCCCTGAAGGAAACAGATGGCACACTCAAATTAGGAGAATTTGAGGAAAGTTTAATAAAGGGACTATTTATGAGGTATAGGCAGGTGTGATGGTTAATTTTATGTGTCAATTTGACTGGATCATGGGATGCCCAGCTATCTAGTTAAGCATGATTTCTGGGTGTGTCTATGAGGTTGTTTCCAGGAGAGATTAGCATTTGAATTGGTGGACTGAGTGTAGCAGATGGTCCTCCCTCATATGGGTGGGCCCATCCAGTCCATGGACGACCTGAACGGAATACTAACATGGAGGAAGGTTGAAATCATTTTTTGCCTTACAGCTTGAGCTGGGACATTGATCTTCTACTGCCCTTGGCACTTCTGGTTCTCAAGTCTTCATACTTGGACTGGAATCTACATCATCAGGCCCTCCACTTCCCAGGCCTTCAAACTACATCAGGCTTTCCTGGGTCTCCAGCTTGCACACAGCAGACAGTGGAGGTTCTCAGCCCCCATAATTGTGTGAGCCAATATTTATCTATATATTATCTATCTATCTATCATCTATCTATCTATCTATCTGGATTAGTCCATTTTCATACTGCTATGAAGAAATACCTGACACTGGGTAATTTATAAAGAAAAAGAGATTTAATGGACTCATGGTTCCACATGGCTGGGGAGGCCTCAAATCATAGTGGAAGGCAAAGGAGGAGCAAAGGCACATCTTACATGGTGGCAGGCAAAAGAGAGTGTGCAAGGGAACTACCCTTTATAAACCATCAGATCTCGTGAGACTGATTAACAAGAACAGCTTGAGAAAAACCCACTCCCATGATTCAATTACCTCGCACTGGGTCCCTCCCATGACATGTGGGGATTATGGGAGCTACAATTCAAGATGAGATTTGGGTGGGGACACAGCCAAACTATATCACTATCTATTATCTATCTATCTATCTATCTATCTATCTATCTATCTATATCTATCTATCTCATCTATTTATCATCTATGTAATCTATTTATCTTTCTATCATATCTATTTATCATCTATGTAATCTATTTATCTTTCTATCATCTATCTACCTATCTAGTATCTGTGTAATCTATCTGTCCATCTGTGTATCTATCATCTATCTACCTAATTATATATCTATCTATATCATCTATCTAATAATATATCATATATCTATCTAATTATTATCTATCTATCTCTCTATCTATCTCATCTATTTATCATCTATGTAATCTATTTATCTTTCTATCATCTATCTACCTATCTAGTATCTGTGTAATCTATCTGTCCATCTGTGTATCTATCATCTATCTACCTAATTATATATCTATCTATATCATCTATCTAATAATATATCATATATCTATCTAATTATCTATTATCTATCTATCTACCTATCTATCTCTCTATCTATCTATCTATCTATCTATCTGTCTCCTCTTGGTTCTGTTTCTCTGGAGAATCCTAATACAGCAGGCTATGGGGAAACCATGAGACATGGCATAATATGCCAGCACTAGTCAAATGGGGGGCTGTGACCATCCCTAACCTAGAAGGATGAAAGAAGATGACATTAAGTCATTACCAGAGTCTGTAAGGAAATATTATTATGGAGAGGGACCCTTTGAGAGGAGCTGTGACTTCAGTGGAGGAACTCAGCTGACCTGAGGCAGCCCCATGGAGAGGGGCCAGGAAATCAATGTCCCTTCTTCAGTTTTCTTTGCCTTCTTATCCTCTGCTGGGGCTGAACAAAACTGGAAGCTTCTTGAGGCAGAGATCTCAGTGGAGGAGGAGCAGGGGCAACTAGAAGACATCTGCTGCTGAGGTCAAGTGCAGCAGCTCACACCTTCAACCCAGCAGTTTGGGGAGCCAAGGCAGGAGAATCGCTTCAGCCCAGGAGTTCAAGACTAGCCTGGGCAACACAGGAAAACCCTCATCTCTACAAAAATAAATAAATAAATAAGCCATGCATGGCGGTGCACACTTGTGCTCTCAGCTACTCAGGAGGCTGAGGTAGGAGGATCCCTTGGGCCCCAGAGAGATTAGCATTTGAATTGGTGGACTGAGTGTAGCAGATGGTCCTCAGAGGTTGAGGCTGCAGTAAGCCTACATTGCACCATTGCACTCCAGCCTGGATGACAGAGTGAGACCCTGTCTTAAAAAAAAAAAAAAAAAAAAAAAAAAAAAGCTATCTTGTGTCAGATGAAAGGCTCCCCCTTCCTAGACAACAAAAGCCTCACTCCTCCTGGACACCTGAGGAATCTGTTTCATTCATGAGTTGTTCTTGTTTCTCTCATGGCCCAGTAAGAGATTCCGGGTTCTCCTGGTAACTGAGGAGCTGGGGCCCTCTCCACTGTTTCCTCTTCCTGGCCCGGTTCAGGAAGGCTGCCCTGAGGGTTCCCAGAGCAGCCTTGGTACCTGCAAGCCTCTGCTCCTTCTTCCTTCTAGAACTCCTCTACCTTGAAGTCAGGGTTTCTCAGCCTCATCACTATTGATGATTTAGCCCGGGTGCCTCTTGGTTGAGGGGCCTGTCCTGTGCATTGTAGAATGTTTAGCAGTATCCCTGGCCTCTACGTGCTAGATGCCAGTAGCAATGCCGGATGCCTGCCCTCTAAGTTGTGATAACCAAAAATGCCTCCAGAGATTGCCAAAAGCGCCCCCCTGGGAGGGAAAACTGGCCCCAGTTGAGAACCATTGCCTTAAACTGACTATTCTTAAGGCAGACACCTGGGCCCAACCCTCCCTTTTATACTGAAAATGAAAACACCCTGTTTCCTTGCTTCCTGGGTACTCATCAAAGCTCTCAATTTTAAATCCAGTCAGTTACACAATTAGCACACGCAAACACAGCCATTTGCAGGCATCAGCAGGCAGTAATTTTTAGAAAAGAGATACACAAGAATATATACATATACAATGGAAAGCTGTTTAAATACAGTTAGGATGTATTTATCTATTCCCCACCTTGTTCCAAAATGGATTTAAGGCAGCGTAAAGTACATTAAAACAAGTGAGAGGAAATGAGACAAACAGAAAATAACAGCAGGAATTGTAGATGGAGGTTTCCACACCAAATGTATGAAGTGAAGTATTATGTGCTTGCTAAAGATGGGCTGTAAATTTAGCTCTAGGCTCCTTAGCATCCAATTCAAAAAGGGAAGCAGGACCAGTGATAGTGTTGGTGGGGAGTTTTTCATTACCAAGACCCTCAGGGCTCAGCTGCCCTGACATCCACCTTCCCATGGTGACTTGTCTCTGGGCTTGTGGCACCTGCTCTGGGGAATGTGTGGCTGGGATTAGGAGACTCCCTGTGGTCCAGCAGGTTGGGTTCAACCTTGAACTTCTCTTGGGAGGGGCCTGGCTGAAACACCCAGACTATGCCCAGAATTCCTTTAGGAGACAGAGAGTTGTGTAGATAGTACTGTCTTCCTGGTGGCTTCCAGCAGTGGAATGGGACACTGTGCTTGATTTTTTTTCTCCTTCCTTCTAGGTGCTATCATATCTCTTTAGCATATAATTTGTCTCACTTTGGGACTGAGGACAATGATACTTAATTTAGAGGTAAAAACAGTAAGTAATGTTTATTGAGCACTTATGATGGCGGAGGTCCTGTGTTAAAAGCCATGTGCACATTTTCTCATTTAATCTTCACAGTAACCCAGCCAGGCAGGTACAGATTAGAAAATGGAGGTTTACAGACTAGAAAACTGAGGTTTAAGGCCGAGCGTGGAGGCTCACGCCTGTAATCCCAGCACTTTGGGAGGCCAAGGTGGGTGGATCACCTGAGGTCAGGAGTTTGAGACAAGCCTGGCCAACATGGTGAAACCCTGTCTCTGCTAAAAATACAAAAAACTAGCCAGGCGTGGTGGCACGCACCCGTAATCCCAGCTACTGAGGAGGCTGAGGCAGGAGAATCACTTGAACCCGGGAGGCGGAAGTCGCAGTGAGCAGAGGTCACGCCATTGCACTCCAGCGTGGGTGACAGAGCCAGGCTCCATCTCAAAAAAAAAAAAAAAAAAAGAAAAGAAAGAAAACTGAGGTTTACAGGATGTTAAGCCACTATTCCAAGCTACTATCCAAAGGTCCCCTAGCTAATAAGTAATGGAGCAGGGATTAACATCCAGCTTTACCTTACTCCAGAGCCTAAGGGCAGATTGCTTGGCTCTCCTGCCTCTGGTGGGAAAGCTGGAGGTCAGAGAAAAAAAAGAGTCACCCCCTGAACTGAGAGGCCAAGATGAATAAAACCCCAATATGGAGTCCCACGCAGTATTTCCTCCATCCCAGGGCATTCCTGCCTCTGTGCTCAGGCAGAAGAGACAGCTTGTGTTATGAGATAAGGATTGATCTTATCTTTATTTAAAAATTAGATATTTTGTTCATTATGGATTTTTTGCACCAATTTTGATTTTTAAAAATATCACATTAAGATATTATTTATCTTGATCACTGAGTTTTTTGGCACCCCCTTACATTTTGCATGCCTGAGGCAAGTGCCTCACTCCCCTACTCCCAGCTCTTTGAGGAGGGATAAAGCCAGACGACCACAGGAGCTCCTAGAGAGCCCGGCGCTGCCCATCACCCACGACTGACTCCTGGCATTCCTCTCACTCCCCAAGCTAGCTGGAGTTTATCGCTGAGCCACAATTTCCTTACTATGTGAGAGGAAATCGTCACCTCTCTTCTTCCTGGCAATCAGGGCTGATATGAGGACCCAGGGAGAGGAGGCTGAAAAAGCCTACTCTATGGGGCAGTTTCCTCTTCTTCTTCTTCTTCTCCTTCTTTTTCTTTTTTGTGAGACTGGGTCTCACCCCGTCGCCTGGGCTGGAATGCAGTGGAGCCATCTTGGCTCCCTGCAATCTCTGCCTCCCAGGTTCAAGCGATTCTCCTGCCTCAGCCTACTCTGGGATTACAGGTGTGCACCACCACACCCAGCTAGTTTTTGTAGTTTTAGTAGAGACAGGATTTCGCCATGTTGGCCAGGCTGGTCTTGAACTCCTGACCTCAAGTGATCCACCCACCTCAGCCTCTCAAAATGCTGGGATTACAGGCGTGAGCCACTGTGCCTGGCCTGTTTCTTCTAATAATCAAACCAAACACTCCCAGACTTAGTTTCCACTCTGCCACACCAGCAAAAATTATCATCCTATTTTACAGGTAGGGAAACTGAGATTCAGGGTCAAGGTGCCTCATCTGAGGTCATGCAGCCAGTGTGGGATTCTCGTTCAGGGCTTTCCCCACCACCGGCCCTGCTCTGAATCCTGGGCTCCTTGGGTGTTGCTGGAGAGCATGGGCCACGTGGCTGTTGTCCTGATCACGCTCCTGCAGCCTCCTCTCTCCAGGAGTCTGAAAGCTGTCTCCTTGCATTGCCTCAGCAGCCTGTGAAATCCAATCCAATGCAGTTTGTCGGGAAAGCAAATGGACTCTGCGGAGAAAACATAAGATGTTGTCTGAGTTAATAAGATAATAATTTAATATGTTTCTCACCCCCTCCCCCAGCCTCTGTCTTAAACAAGCTAGCAAGCGTTCACAGTTTGCCTTTAAGTAATTTAGGGAAGGCATTGGAAATTCTCACCTGCCCTACTCCCTAAGCGGTGATGTTTCTTGTCACCGACTAACAGCTTTTAAAATATTTACAGCCCTTTCTTTGCCCTGGGGGTGTATCAGAATAAATCATTGTTACCACCAATAAATCAAAAATTAATCTCCAGAAAGCTCGATGCCTGTCCTATCCCTCAAATAACAAGTAGCAGAATCTATCCGAGTGACTTGACATCAACGGAGGCTGTTTCCCCAGCACCCTCAGGGAGAAGAAGGTGAATTACTTACCGCCAAAGAGCAAGAGCTCCACACTGCCCCCTAGCGGAACTGGTCCAGCCCTGAGATAGGACCCACGCCAGGACAGCCCTCACCCACATCCACCCCAGGCTCGGCAGCCCTAATTATCATACTAAATGCTCCCAGACTTCACAGTCCCCTTTCATCCTGAGAAGGGCTGTTTTCCCTCGGAAAGGTAGCTCCTCCTTCGACATTTTTTTCTTCCCATTTTCTTTACCTCCATTTAGACATCCCTCCTCTAATCTTCTTTCTCCCTCTTGTCCAACTCTTTCCTCAAACTCTATTGATCTTTTTCTCTTGTTTTCTTCTCCTCTTCCTTCAAAAGCTTCCTCTCTCCACCTCTTTCCACCTTTTTCTTGTGCCTTGGTCCAAGTACCTTGCTAGGCAATTTGCACGTCTCAGTTAATCCTCCAACAGCCCCACAATATTATCCCCATTTTGCAGACAAGAAACTGAGGCTCAGAGAAGTTAAGTCGCTGATTGGTTACATAAGCTGGTAGGTGGTACACTCCAGAGCCCACGTGCTTATTGACCAAAATACTTCCACAGGTGGTCCGGAAAGACAGGTTAAGGAGCTTAGAAGTTATATTGAGTGCAATTTAGAGCCACTGAAACTTTTTTTTATTATACTTTAAGTTTTAGGGTACACGTGCACAACGTGCAGGTTAGTTACATATGTATACATGTGCCATGTTGGTGTGCTGCACCCATTAATTCGTCATTTAACGTTAGGTATATCTCCTAATGCTATCCCTCCCCCGTCCCCCCACCCCACAACAGGCCCCGGTGTGTGATGTTCCCCTTCCTGTGTCCACGTGTTCTCATTGTTCAATTCCCACCTATGAGTGAGAACATGCGGTGTTTGGTTTTTTGTCCTTGCGATAGTTTGCTGAGAATGATGGCTTCCAGCTTCATCCATGTCCCTACAAAGGACATGAACTCATCATTTTTTATGGCTGCATAGTATTCCATGGTGTATATGTGAGCCACTGAAACTTTTAATTAGCAGAGTGTGGTGTCATGTTCCTGTAGTCCCAGTTACTTGGGAGGCAGAGGCATGAGGAGTGCTTGAGCCCAGGAGGTTGAGGCTGCAGTGAACCATGATTGTGCCACTGCATTCTAGCCTGGGTGACAGAGCAATACCTTGTCTCTAAAAAAAAAAAAAGAGAGAGAGAGAGAAAAGGAAGGAAGGAAGGAACGGAAAGAAAGGAAGGAAAGAAAGAAAGAAAGAAAGAATTCATAGTTTTAAAGTCAGAGAAACATAGGAACATACATTCTTGGATATGTGTGAAAAATGGAGAGACTTCAGCGTCTGAAAATGAATTCAGGGACTGTTATAGAAATTCACACAAGAGATGATGTGCCTTGAATAGATGCCATGGCAGTGGGGATGAAGGGAACTAGGTGCTTTCAAAAGATCTTAAAGAAATATAAGGAACAGACTTGGTAATCAGTGGAGGAGAGGGATGAAGATTGAGGATAACACCTAGGTTTCTTTGGGGTTGGATAAAATGGTGGTGAGCTAGGCTTACGGGTAGGAAGGAGGGAGGGAGGTGGTGGAATTTCATTGTGTTGCCGCTGAGGCAGTTTTCCATCTGGACTTGTTGCTAAGCTGGAGGACAGACGTGGGGTGACGTTGGCATGATGAGACCCCTTCAGAAGGCAGTGTGAGAAGAGAAGAGACCTCAGATGGATTCTTGAGGAACCAAGAATATGACAGAGAAAAAGCAGCCTGTGGCCAGAGGGATAGAAGGATAATTAGGAATTTGTGTTCTCACAGAAGCCAAGGGAGTAGTAAATTTTAGGAAGGAAGTGGGAGGGACAGGAAGTGTGTGTTCCATCTGTAAAGCCCCACCAGCGTTCCCCTTTCCAACACCTGGTTCTCATTTCTCCATCTTCTGGTCCCCCCATCTCTCTCTGTCAACTTCATGTGTATTTTCAGCCTCCCTAAACTATGTGAAGGAAAACACAAAGGAAGCTAAAAGAAAACCTTCCTCCCTGCCACCCACCAGCAGCAACAAGGCGTGTCATGGGGTGGAGTGATGTTTTGGGCTTGGGGGCTGGAGAGTAAGAATCCAGGAGAGGCAAGGACTGGGAGCTTTTCATTGTTGTGTCCCTACTCTTTGTCTTTACAGGACTAGGTCCTCAATACATGTGGAACTGAATTGCTCTCTTGCCTTTTCCTCTGTTTTTTTTTTCTACCCTTAAATCTACTACTTGAATAGATATCTATATGCTTCCATTAATGAGATTCTTTCTTAACTCTGTAACTTTCTTAACTCTGTAAATTTAGAGAACTTACATTTGTCATGACTGTAAACAATACTGCTCATTGTAGCAAATTTGGAAAAGGCAGAAAACTGGAAAGAAAATAAAATCCACCCATAATTTCACCACCCACAGACAACCATCATTACTAACATTTTGGTATATTTCACTCAATTTTTAAATATATACATATATATATTTATTTTTATAAAGTTTTCACAAATGCACCATAATCAGAATGTATTAGATAGGGTAGGTTATACTGAAACAACAAAAGTGACTTAAAACTTTCCACGCTTAACACATTAGAAGTTTCATTGTTCATGTAACAATATTGGCCAGTTGTTCAGGTTTGCAATGAAGCTCTGCTCCACAAAGTCATTCGGGAATCTGAACTGTTCTCATTTTATGGCTCCACCGTCTCCTTAGGGCCTTGTTTTTGTCTCTATCCAGCTCTCAAATGTGAAAGAGAGCAAGAAGGAGGCACACTCACTCTCTTAAAAAGCCCTGGCTCAGAAGTGACACATACCACTTTTGCTCTCAACCCATTGATGATAACATAGCCATGTGTCTCCACCTAATAACAAGGGAGGCTGGGGAATGGTCCAGTAGTCCAGCCATCTCTAGGAGATTGGATTTTGGTGGATAGATAGGCACTTCTGTGATACAAAGGCAGTGCTATTCTTAACATCCTGTGCCACTTCCCACCAGTTCCCTAAGCCCCACCCATCAGAACTGTTTTCTGTAGATGCCTTGCTCTCTCACACTTGATTTATTTTACACTTGCATTCACACACTTTTGAAGGTGCTGTTCCCAGTGCTTGGAGCTCCTGTAATGCCTTAATGCCCTTAAACTGACTTGGGTGCTACTCCTCTGCACCCTTGTATATCATACTATGGTGAAAGATGGCTCACCAACTAGGACATGAGCTTCCTGAGAGCAGGATCTGTGTCTCTCATCATCAGATACATAATCTGGTGAATATTTTTTGTCATTGAGCTATTGCACAATAGGTACTCAATATGTGTTTCTAGGCAAGAAGGAGGAGGTGACAGAGAATAAGAGAGTAGTTGACACTGACCAGCACTGTAGGGAAGACAGGAAAGATGAGACCTGAAGTCTACTTGATGGAGTGGGTGGGAATAGAGTGGTGGGCTTGTGAAGCCAAAGGGCTGGGAGGAAGCAGTGGAAGCAGGGAAAGATCATCCTCATCAAGTGCATCTCCATAGGTAACTCCTCATCTTTTTTTTTTTAGATTTGGAACCTTGCTATGTTTCCCAGGAAGATCTTGAATTTCTCACGTCAGATGATCCTCCTGCCTTGGTCTGTCAAACAACACCCAGCCTTCATCAATCATTTTTAAGTTAATGTGTTGATGAGATGATTATATAGACAGCAACAAAGGATATGAGAAGAAACCAAGAGAAAGCAAGATTCTGAAACATGAAGAGAAAGTAGTCAAAGGGCTTCTCCAGTCCCCACCACCCAACTGCACAAGCCCCACCTCTGTCCAGCCTTGCTCTCAGCCCTGCCCTTGCAAACCAAGGGTGGTAATATTTGTATACACTTGCTTCCCTAGATGTTAGAACACGGCTATACTTCTGAGTCTAAAAAGACTCTGCCAATTTTGCAGTGGAGTGGTGAGAGTGGGTTCAAGATGGAATGAGGTTTTAGAAGATGTCCAGACAGTAAAAGGTGACTTTTCCTTTGAGCTGTTTGGCTGTGAAAGGAGGAAAGAGGACATGCCAGTAGCTGGAAAGGGATATGAGTTCAATAAAGGGCTTTTGGAGGAGGTGGTTATCTTGTTTTTGTTTGGCTTAGTTTTGTTAGATATTGGACAAGACTGGAATGTGTTTCTATGCTGAAGGGAAGGAACCAGCAAAAGTTAAAATATAAGAGAGACAAATTAGACTTCATAAAAATTAAATTGTGCTCTGTATTAATCTATTCTAATTGCTGCTATAAAGAAATACCTGGCTAGGCTTGGTGGCTCACACCTGTAATCCCAGCACTTTGGGAAGCTGAGGCAGGTGGATCACATGAGGTCAGGAGTTCGAGACCAGCCTGGCCAACATGGTGAAACCCTGTCTCTACTAAAAATACAAAAATTGGCTGGGTGTGGTGGCCCATGCCTGTAATCCCAGCTACTCGGGAGGCTGAGGCAGGAGAATCGCTTGAACCTGTGAGGTGAAGGTTGCAGTGAGCTAAGATCATGCCACTGCACTCCAGCCTTGGTGGCAGAGTGAGACTCTGTCAAAAAAAAAAAAAAAAGAAAGAAAAAGAAATACCTAAATACCTGAAACTGGGTAATTTCCAAAGAAAAGAGCTTTCATTGGCTTACAGTTCTGCAGGCTGTATAGGAAGCATGGCCGGGGAAGCCTCAGGAAACTTACAATTATGGTGGAAGGGGAAGGGGAAGGGGAAGCAGGAACATCTTCACATGGCCGGAGAAGGAGGAAGAGAGAAAAGGGGGAGGTGCTACACACTTTTAAACAACCACATCTCAGGAAAACTCACTATCACAAGAACAGCAAGGAGGAAATCTGCCCCCATGATCTAATCACCTCCCACCAGGCCCCTCCTCCAACATTGGGATTACAATTTGACATGAGATTTGGGCAGGGACACAGATCCAAACCATATCGTGCCCTTTGAAAGATACTGTTAAGAAAATGGAAACAAACATAAATGAAGACATATGTATATAATACAAATACTGAAAATATTTATATATTTTCATATAAATATATTGTCATATTTATACATACTCTCAAATACGTATCACAAAACACTAATGCAACTCAATCATAGGAGAACAAAAAAATGTGCAAAAGATTTGAATAAAGAGGATACAAATGGTCAAGAGCACATGAAAAGATGCACAACATCTTTAGTTATTAGGGAAATGAAAATTAAAACCGCAAGAGATACTGCTACAGATCTATAAGATGGCAAAAGTTAAAAAGACTGATAATACTGAGTGCTGGTTAGGATGTGAAGCACTGGAACTCTCAATATTGCTGGCATAGTGTAAAATGGTATATCCACTTTGGACAACAATTTGTCAGGTTCTGTCTCTCTCTTGGTCTCTCTCTCTTTTTGTTTGAGACAGGATCTCACTCTTTCTCCCAGGCTGGAGTGCAGTGGCATGATTACAGCTCATTGCAACCTCAAACTCCTGGCACAAGCTACTCAAGCCACTTGAGTCGCAGGGACTACAGGTATGCGCCACCATGCCTGGCTAATTTTTAAATTTTTTGTAGTGACAGGGTCTCACTTTTTTGTCCAAGCTGGTCTCAAACTCCTGGGTTCAAGTAATTCTCCAACCTTGGCCCTCCTAAAGTGCTGAGATTATAGGCACAAACCACCACGCCCAGCCAGGTTCTTACAAAGTAAATATACACTTACCATATGATTCAAAATTCCACTTCTAGGTATTTCTACAAGAGAAACGTAAAAGTGGTCACACAAAGATTGTATATGCTGAAAACAACCCAAATGTCCATCAACAGATACATAGATAAGTAAATTGTGACATATCGATCCAGCAATCCCACTAGTTGGGTATATATTCAAAGGAAAGGGGAATACCTTGGGCACAGGTTGTCAGGACTTCCTGAGGCTGTGTCCCTTAAAAAGAAAAAAACAAAAAGAAAAAGAAAACAAAGGAAAGGAAACCAGTATGTTAAAAGATGTTTGCACTCCCCTGGTTATTGCAGCACTATTCACAATAGCTAAGATATGGAATCAACTTGTGTCCATTAGCAGATGAATGGATGAAGAAAATGTGGTATATAAAAATTGACAAATGGGATCTAATTAAACTAAAGAGCTTCTGCACAGCAAAAGAAACTAGGATCAGAGTGAATAGGCAACCTACAGAATGGGAGAAAATTTTTGCAATCTACCCATCTAACAAAGGTCATCTAAAAAAGGTCTAATATCTAGAATCAACAAGGAACTTAAACAAATTTACAAGAAAAAAAAACCCCATCAAAAAGTGGGCAAAGGATATGAACAGACACTTCTCAAAAGAAGACATTTATGCGGCCAACAAACATAGGAAAAAAGCTCATCATCATTGATCATTAGAGAAATGCAAATCAAAACCACAATGAGATACCATCTCATGCCAATCAGAACGGCGATTATTAAAAAGTCAAGAAACAATAGATGCTGGCGAGGCTGTGAAGAAACAGGAACACTTTTACACTATTGGTGGGAATGCAAATTAGTTCAACCATTGTGGAAGACAGTGTGGTGATTCCTGAGGGATATAACACCAGAAATACTATTTGACCAGCAATTCCATTACTGAGTATATACCCAAAGGAATATAAATCATTCTACTATAAAGACACATGCACATGTACGTTTATTACACCACTATTTACAATAGCAAAGACATGGAACCAACCCAAATGCCCATCAAAGATAGACTGGATAAAGAAAATGTGGTACATATACACCACGGAATAGTATGCAGCCATAAAAAAGAATGAGATCATGTCCTTTGCAGGGACATGGATGAAGCTGGAAGCCATCATCCTCAGCAAATTAACACAGGAACAGAAAACCAAATGTCGCATGTTCTCACTCATAAGTGGGAGTTGAACAATGAGAACCCATGGACACAGGGAGGGGAGCAACACACACTGGGGCCTGTCGGTGGGGGCAAGGGGAGGGAGAGCATTAGGACAGATACCTAATGCATGCGGGGCTTAAAACCTAGATGATGGGTTGATAGGTGCAACAAAGAACCATGGCACGTGTATACCTATGTAACAAACCTGCACGTTCTGCACATGTATCCCAGAACTTAAAGTAATATAAAATAAAAGAAAATAAAAAATAAAATGGGGTATATATACCCAATGGAATACTATTTAGCCATAGAAAAGAATGAAATGCTGTCATTTCACAGCAACATGGATAAGCTTGTAGTACATTATGTTAAGTGAAATAAGTCAGGCACAGAAAGATAAATAGCACATGTTCTCACTTATATGTGGAAGCTAAAAAAGTTGATCTCATAGAAGTAGAGTGGTTACCAGAGGTAGGGGTAAAGTAGGGGTGGGTGAGGGGAATAGCCAAAGGTTGGTTAAAAGTTATAGCATGACAGCTATCTAGGAGGAGTATGTTATAGTGTTCTAGAGTACTGTAGAATGACTATTTAACCACAACTAATTGTATATTTTCAGATAGCTAGAAGAGAAGATTTTAAATGTTCCTAACACAAAGAAATGATAAATGTTTAAGGTGATGGATATGCTAATTACCCTGATTCGATCTTTACACATCGTATACATGTATTAAAATATCACACTGTAGGCCGGACGCGGTGGCTCATGCGAGTAATCCCAGCACTTTGGGAGGCCAAGGTGGGTGGATCATGAGGTCAGGAGATTGAGACTATCCTGGCTAACACAGTGAAACCCCGTCTCTACTAAAAATACAAAAAATCAGCCAGGCGTGGTGGCGAGCGCCTGTAGTCCCAGCTACTCGGGAGGCTGAGGCAGGAGAATGGCGTGAACCTGGGAGGCGGAGCCTGTAGTGAGCCAAGATAGAGCCACTGCATTCTGGCCTGGGCGAAAGAGCGAGACTCTGTCTCAAAAAGAAAAAAAAAAAAAAATCACACTGTACCCTGTAAATATGCAGAGTTAAAAATAAATAAATTGTAGCATATCTATACAATGGAATACCACTTGGCAATAAAAAGGGTGAACTACTGACATACACAATATGATGCATTTCAAAAGCACTATGCTGAGCAAAAGAAGTCAAACATAAAAAACTACATATTGTATTATTCCATTTATGTGACATTCTCTTAAAGCACAAACTAATCTATAATGATGGAGGACAGATCTCTAACACCCCAGCAGTGGTTACTGAGAAGTGGGGGGCAGATTTGAAGGAGAATTGATTGCATGAGGCAGCTTTTTGGGGTGATGGAACTGTTCTATATCTTGATTGTGGTGCTAAGTGTTAGACAGATGTATTCATTTGCCAAAACTCACCCATTTGTTAAAATGGTTGCATTTTGCTGTATGTAAATTATACTTCCATGAAGCTGATTAAATACTTTGTTTTAAAAATTAGAGAAAATGAGTAACTGAAGACCAAGTCCTCAGTGTAAAATAGGATCAAAACTACAAATAGAAGGGCAAATTTGGCATAAGACAAGATACACTTTTTTTCTGGAAGATATACTTTTGTGCCTAGAAGAAAGAAACCGAGAGTGCAGGAGAATATAGCTATTTTGGGGAGTATTTTTGCACGGAGGGGAATAGGGTGGGAAGTGGGGTGGAGCAGGAAGTCTTTGAGGGCTACAGTGAAACGTTAAGTTCAGTAGCCCAATGGCTCTGTCTTCCATGAGGAAGATTCTGATGGCCTCTATATTTTCTAGGTATAAATATGGACCAGGTAGATTTTGGAGGCTCTCCAAGGGCACTAAATTATGAATCTGGGAGTTTAGGCTGTCAGTGTGGGTTCATACTGTTAGCCCACAATTTATCTGTGCAAAGATATTTTGCAGTTGCAGGGAAAACATCAGGTCCTATAAACCATCCAGGAATGTTAGAGGTCTCAGGAAGCCTCTGACCAAACGTTATTGTGCAGCTGGAACTGCAGACTTTTGTTGTTGTTTTTTGCTTTGGGTTTCATGGAAAAAGAGACAGCCCAGCGAAGTCTTACACATGTTATTTGGAAGTATTGTGACAGGCACGAAATTGGGCTGGTGTCAAAAGAAACCACAGTGGCTGCTTCTTTTTATTATTTTTTAAAAAGCAATTTTGATCTTTCAAGCCCTGTGAGGAAAAAAGTTTACTAAATATACCTCTGTGGAGGAGTGTGTTGATTCAAGCGTTTATCTTGTCTCTCATCCCAGGGGATATATTCCTCTTCTCCGGGGCGTCTCACCCTCTGCCATCACATAGGTTTCTTCCATCTTGGGACTCACTCCTCAGGCTTATAGAATCTGTGGGATAAAGGGAAATATTGGAGCACTTTCTGGAGAAGGTGGGGCCAGCTGCTCACCTTGCCACATTTGCCTTATGATTACAAAAGGCAAAAAACTGTCATAAGCAAAAAAACTGAATTGATGGCTTACGTAACAAAAAGTCCAGGGATCTGCCAGGATGTGGCTATGGCTGGATGAAGGCTCAAGCCTGTTATAGGGATGTGACGTGGGTCATGTCTCAGTTCGCCTTTCTTCTGTGTTGGCTTCAGTCTTGGCTTCATCTATAGAAATCTGGCAGTAAAAGCCATACCCCAAATTCTTTTCAGATGATTATTACTCTGATGAAGTTCTAGGAATTGACTTTTCTTGGCTCCTTTTGGCCTGACTTGAGTCATATGCCCACCGTATTTATTTATTTATTTATTTATTTATTTATTTATTTATTTATTTATTTACTGAGACAGGGTCTTGCTATTTTCTCCAGGCTGGTCTTGAATTCCTGGGCTCAACCAGTCCTCCTGCCTCAGCCTCCTGAGGAGCTTGGATCCATCTTTGGGCCAATCATTGTCACTGAGGAAAATGCAATATGCTGACTTGCTTAGGACCTCAACCCAAAACTCATGACCCAAGAGGAATGGTGGAGGCTCCCCCAGAGTAATATGATAGCATACTTACTCCATAAAAGGATATGGATAATGGGGAGCACAAACAGCCAACATCTTCCACACTCAGGAGCACAAGGCAGGTTCTTCAAGGCTGACTCTCTGGACCAGGTTACTAAGAAGCAGCAGCAAAGGTGAATAAATTTTCTAATTCCTGCAGGGCTTGATTAAGCACTGCAGAACAGTTGTGGTACCTGCCTACAACTTGGAGAGAAAGCTACAGAATTCCTTAGAGCAGATTTCAAGTCTTCCATGCTTTGGCCCCAAATGTCTTCACTTCTCCTCTAGTGGAACCCTCTACTCTAGCCTAACTCATCTCATTCAGCATGATACAAAAACTAAAGTTCAAATTGCCCAGGTCAAGTTGCAGCCCCACCATTGACTATTTGTATAATCTTGAGCAAGCTATTCTCTGAGCGTATGTCCTCATCCGTAAAATGGGGATAATAATAGTTTATGCCTTATTAATATTAGGTTAGAAGGATTAAGGGACATGGTTCATGTATAGTGCCATACCTGGAGAGCTGGAGAGCTTTTTCCCTCCTACCTGAAATGCATTCTCAGCCCTTCTTTATGCTGCTTGTGGCCCAGGATACTCGCCCTTTTTCTGGAACGCACTGCCTAGGCTCCTTTGTCTTCCAGCTTCCGATTGTTTTTGGCAGTGAGGTTGGAGTAGTTCTTCCCTGCATGTATATTACATCTCTGGCGGTGGCTGTGACCCTCCATGGACTGCAACTCCTGCCCTGTGTCTCTTCCTTCATGACTCTACATCTGACTTCTTCCTTTGGTGACATTATTTGCTTCTGCTCTCAGCCCTTGAAGTAGTGATGGCTTCACACAGTTGCTAAGCCATTAGTTCCTTAACATCCCACATTTGCCCCCTTAACCTTGCTCATGCCTCTGTGATAGCTCTTCATTAAGATATCTTTATCTAAACCATCTGGTGTAGATGCTGCTTCCTGCTGAGACCCTGACTAATGCAATAGTTGGTAACTGAAGTGGTCCTAGGAACAACCTTGAAAATGAGATTTGGGAACTAGGTTTCTCACTTATGTAATGAAGGCATAAATGACCTTATGGTGGATGGAAATGGGACATGGTGTGGCATGAAGTAGCATTAAGATGACTCACATTATTACTGATGGTGATGTAGGATGGAGAGCTAGTGGAAGGTGCAGTTTTATGTGACCACTGTTATGGCAACAGTCAGAGGTGATTACAGTAATTACAGGATGGGCTGGCTAGTTCTGACTGTGCTGGAGAGTTTGAAAGAGAGAGAGAGAGAGAAAGAGAGAGAAGCTTTGAACCTTGAACTTGCAACTCAAGACATGGGTGTAGAACCGGAAAGTTTCTACGGAGGCCTTATAGGAATTCCTTATCTCATGAAGCCTCAGGGAAGACAAAGCTGTGGGTCACGCCTAAGATATAATTGTGGGGGTTGAAGATTTGTAAAGCCTCTTAAATGTACAACCTTATCTAACATTAGTCTGTGCTAGAATTGGGCCCTGAGATTGGGAAGAGGACATTTGGAATGAAACAAATGAAACTGAAATTCCTGGCTGGGAGCAGTGGCTCAAGCTTGTAACTCCAGCACTTTCGGAAGCTGAGTCGGGTGGATGGCTTGAGGCCAGGTGTTCGAGACCAGCTTGGCCAACATGGTGAAACTCCATCTCTACTAAAAATACAAAAATTAGCCGAGCATGATGGCACGCACCTGTGATCCCAGCTACTCAGGAGGCTGAGACACAAGAATTGCTTGCACCTGGGAGGCAGAGGTTGCAGTGAGCTGAGATCTCACCACTGCACTCCAGCCTGGGTGACAGAGTGAGACTCTGTCACAAACAAACAAACAAACAAACAAACTGAGATAATTGGCCCCCTAAGTGCCCCTGAATTACCCTTACTGGAGAAAGTAGTCCCTTGCATAGACTTTTCTATTTCACATAGGGTAGTTGCCTTGCAAGAGGCAGTCTATTGTCCTAAAGACCTAGCCCCACCTTATCTCATTGCCTCCAGGGCCAGGAGAAATCTTATGGCCTAGAGGAAAAAAATGAAAGATCTTCTCCAGAAGGACATAGTTATACTCCAAAAGAATTACAATGTCTTTTTGTTATATTAGCAGAAACCTGGTGAACATGTTTGGGAATAGATTCCAAGAGTAGTAGACCAAGCAGGATGAAATCTAGCTGGATTGGATCAAATTTGGCAATATAGGTGAATTCACCTGGGATTCAAGATGTAGCTTAAGCAGCTGGGAATGGCTCTAATAGTTTGCCTGGTTAAGTAATTCACTCTTTGATATAACAATGCCCTACATCTAATGAGGCTGAGTATGCCAGAACTTCCCTAGCATATTGTAGAAAGAATCAAAGAATTGGAAGTTTGTTGAGGTGGGAAATTGAAATGTATCTATTATATATTATATAATCTGCTGAATCCATCCCCTAAGGCACAGAGGACACTTCCCTTACAAAATATTTAAAAATTCATCAGTAAGAACACCAGCATCTTTGAAAAGTTCTGTGGTAGCTTCTAAAGACTAGGGATGACAGTGAGATGAGATGTTGCCATTACATTACAGTCTGTAATACTAACTGTAGTAATAGGAACTCACAGTGACAATCAGAAACAGTGATTGACTATCAGAGACAAGGTGGGCCCAGTTACTCCAATAAGACAGAAAGATAGAACAGTAATCAGACTGTTTGTCCCACATGGATTTATGGTTGCAGCACATTGATCATAGGTAGTAGCAAACTGATCTTTATCAGCATAGCCCAAAAGAAATGTAATGTGAGCCACATTTGTAAATTTTAATTCTCTAGTAGACACATTAACAAAGTTAAAAAAGGAGATGATAATTTTAATAATGTATTTTAACTCATATCTAAAGAGTTATCATTTCAACATGTAATCAATATAAAACATTTGTTATTATTATTATTTATAGATGGGGTCTTTCTCTGCCGCCCAGGCAGATCATGAATGCAATGGTACGATCATGGCTCACTGCAGCCTCAACCTCCCAGTCTCAAGTGATCCTCCCACCTCAGCCTCGCAAGTAGCTGGGACTACAGGTGTGCACTACCACACCCAGCTAAATTTTTTTTCCTTTTTTTTTTTTGAGACAGAGTCTCACTCCGTCACCCAGGCTGGAGTGCAGTGGCACAGTCGGCTCACTGCAACCTCTGCCTCCTAGGTGCAAGAGATTCCCGTGCCTCAGCCTCTTGAGTACTGGAATTACAGGCATGTGCCACTATGCCTGGCTAATTTTTGTATTTTTAGTAGAGACGGGGTTTCACCATGTTGGCCAAGGTAGTCTTGAACTCCTGACCTCAAGTGATTCACCTGCCTCAGCCTCCCAAAGTGCTGGGATCATAGGCACGAGCCACCACACCCAGCCCTGGCTGATTTTAAATTATTTGTTGAGACAGGGTATCTCTGTGTTGCCCAGACTGGTTTCTAACTCCTGGGCTCAAGCGATCCTCCCACCTTGGCCTCCCAAAGTGCTGGGATTACAGGCATAAGCCATGCCTGGCCAATATAAAACATTATTAATGAGATGTTTTATATTATTTATTTGTACTAGGTCTTTGAAATCCAATGTGTATTTTCCATGTAAGCACATCTCAATTGGGGCTAGCCACATTTCAAGTGCTCAATGACCACATGTGACTAGCAGCTACCACATTAGATAGTATAGATCCATATAATTGGGAAAATCATAGTTATGGTGGACAGAAACCTGACTCAGGCAGACATAAAGCCAAAAACTTTTCGCCTAGTTCACAAAGATAAGGCGGTTCACAAGCTTAGAATCCTTTGACTTAGAGAGAGGTCAGGTCTCTTTAAGAAAGAGCCCTGAAATATGACCACAGGGGACTCTGTAAATTTCCTCCACGCCTTCCCCAGAGATACCTGACAGGCGATTTGCTAGGGTGACTGGGCACAAGACAAGGGAAATGTGCAGACCTTGCTGAGGTTATTGGATACTAACTCTGAAGGGATGCTAATCTCTGGAGATCCTAAAAATCACCATGGTCCATCAGCCAGAGTGGGGACTTACAAGGATCTGGTGATAAATGAAATCTTGTCTTGAGCTGTCTTACAATGACTCTAGCAAGCCCGGAGACTGAGTCCGTGGTTATTTCTCCAGTACCTGAAGGTGTAACTGGAATAGACATAAATGGCAACTGGGAGAATCCCACACTGGTTCCCTGTGCCATGGAATGAAAACTATTAAGGTGAGAAAGGCCAAGAGGAAGCCTCTGGGAAGCTGACATTATTTATCTTCCCACCCGCTAAAAATAATAAACTAAAAGCGATGCCACATTCCTGAGGGTATTTGGAGGTTAGAGTCACCATCAAAACCTTAAAAGATGAAGGGATGGGCTGGGTGCGGTGGCTCACGCTTGTAATCTCAGCATTTTGGGAGGCCATAGCAAGCGGGTCACTTGAGGTCAGGAGTTGGAGACCAGCCTGGCCAACATGGTGAAACCATGTTGGTAAAAATACAAAAATTATCCGGCATGGTGGCACACGCCTGTAATCCCAGCTACTCAGGAGGCTGAGGCATGAGAATTCCTTGAACTGGGGAGGTGGAGGTTGTGGTGAGCCAAGATCCTGCCACTGCACTCTAGCCTGAGTGACAGAGTGAGACTGTATCAAAAAAAAAAAAAGAGAGAGAGAGAGGATGGTGGCTCCAATCATATCCATATCCCTGTTTAATACCTACTTGGTTAGGGGAAGCATCATATGGGTTGTGGATAATTACTATGGATTGTCTGAGCTCAATTAGGTCACTGTTGCTGACTACAGCTCCTGCTCTGGTTGTATCTTTACTAGAGCAATGCCACCTGGTATATAGCTATTGACTTGGAAAATGATTTTTTCCCTCCATCTTAATTAGCAAAAACAATCAGAAGCAGTCTATGCAGTATATACTCATGATCTTCACGGTTATGCAACTTTGTTGCTTTCTATCTTAATATAATCCAGAGTAGCCTTTATACTTCACAGTACTTCATGCTGTTCCAATATATTGATGGCATTATGTCAGTTGCAATGGGTGAGCCAGGATGCCCCAAGAACCTTTGAAGGCTTTGTGAGATATAGGCATGACAGAGGGAGGAAGAGAAACCCCACAACATGTAGGAGCCTGATGCTGACACATGAATGAAATTCCTGGGGATTCAGCAGTCTAGATGGCCTTGGGGTAGCCCTTCCAAAGTTAAAGTTAAATTCTCCATTTTGTACTGTGCATCACAAAGAAAAAGGCCCAGTACTTGGTGGATCTCTCTGAATTTTCAAAGAAACATGTGGGTCTTCTACTCTGGCCCATTTACTCAGTAACCATGAGGTTGCCATTTTAGGGCTGGTCCCAGAGCAATAGAGGACGATGTACAAGTTGCTGTACCACTTAGGTCGTATGACCCAGCAGATCCAATGGTACCTAAAGTATTCAGATACTTTGACTAAAGAATACCAAGTGATCCTGCACATTTGACTGAATGATACCGAGTGATTATGTGACCTGAGCTGTTCATTATGAATTCAGTGTTGTCTCATTCTCTAAATCATAAAATTAGCTGTGTGCAGCAGCATTCCATTGTTAGGTAGAGTTTGTCTATGTGAAACCAGGCCTTAGTAGGTCTGGGATGCACAGGATACATTGACTGAGACTCCCATTGCATCCACATCCACTATTTCACCATCTCTTCCTCAACCCACGTAAATGGTCACATGGGAAATTCTCTCTGACCAGTTAACAGAAGAAGGAAAAATTGTAGGCCTGCTTCATAGATAAGTCTATTTGTATCCTGGCACCAGCCAGAAGTGAATGGCTGATGCTCTATAACCTTACTCAGGGATGGCCCTGAAAGGCAGTGATAAAGAAAATTTCCCGGTGGGCAGAAATTTGGGCAAAATATCTGATTTGCTTGGAAGGAAAGGTGGATTGAAGTAGGAATCTATCTAGTCTCATGGGCAGTGGCTAACAGGTTAGCTTGACTGGTCAGGGGCTTGGAAAGACTAGGAGTTGGAGATTGCTATGACAAAGAGATCTGGGAAAAAGTATGTGGATAAAACTCTTGGAGTAGGTGAAGGTGGTGAAGACATTTATGACCCTGGGAAACGTTAAGCCGAGAGCACTCACTGCAGAGGAAGCTTCCAAAAACAAGTTAGATCAGATGACAGCCCTTGTAGCTGTGGTCGACTTCTTTCCCCAGCCACTTTGCTGCTTGCTCCACAGCCCATGTGTATAGTGGCCATTGTGCAGAAATGGTCACTCACTTCCCTTCACAGGGCTTCCCTGTCAATCACCACTGTTGAGTCCCCAGCTTGCCAGTAGCAGAGCAAAACACTGAGCTCTGCTCACACAGAATCCCTGTGGGAACCAGCCTATCACCTCACTTTACGAATTCCTTCCACCTTGGAGGGGCAGGGCTTTGTCTTCACGGGAATAGATACACATTCTGTATGTAGATTTACCTTCTTTGTTCAAAACTCTTCTGCCAACACTATCATCAGGGGACCTACAGAATCTCATCATTATGGTATCTTATGCAACATTGCCTCTGACAAAGGGACTCATTTTAATACAAAAATAGAACAGTAATAGGTTCATGCCCATAGAATTCAGATTTTGCCACGTACCCATCACCTGGAGGCAGCTGATCTGATAGACAAGGAAAATGGTCAGTAGAGGCTCACTTATGACCTGAGTTGGGTGACAATACTCTGAGAGATTGGGCTGTCATCCTATAGGATACCACATATGCTTTAAACCTGTGACCAAAAGATAGTGCCATTTTCCTCAAAGCCAAAATATAAGGGTCTGAAACCCAAGAGGAAGAGGTGGGAGTGACGCCTCTCACAATGACACCTAATCATACACTTACTGCATTTTTCCTTGATGGGCACATTCTCCTGCTCTTGGCAGGTTTGGAGGTCCTAGTTCCTAAGGGAGGAATGCTTCCCCAAGGATACACACTGTATTAATCCTTTGTCGCACTGCTATAAAGACATAAATGGGACTGGGTAATTTATAAAGAAAAGAAGTTTAATTGGCTCACGGTTCTGCAGGCTTTATAGGAAGAATAACAGCTTCTAGGGAGGCCTCAGGAAACTTACAATCATGGCGGAAGGGGAAGGGGAAGCAGGCACATCTTACATGGCCGGAGCAGGAGAATGAGAGAATGGGGCGGCAGGGGGGAAATGACACACACTTTTAAAACAATCAGATCTCCTGACAACTCTATCAGGAGAACAGCATCAAAGGGTGAAATCCACCCTCATGATTCAATCACCTCCCACCAGGCTCCACCTCCAACATTGGGGATTATAGCTCGACATGAGATTTGAGCAGGGACACAAATCCAAACCATTTCATATACACAGCCATGTTTTCATTAAATTGGAAGTTGACATTCCTCCCGGCCATTTGGGCTCCTCTTGTCACTGAACCAATAGGGTCCAATAAGGGCCTCCCATATCTGGCTAGGTGACTGGTTCTAGTTGCCAATAGGACACTGGGATGCTGTTATGCCTTGGGATTACTGGCTCTTTCAGGGCCTCATGGGAGGTGGCTCTAGAGTACTGTCTACTGAGACCTTGCCAATGGGAGAAGCACAGGCTGGAGGGCCCTGGCAGGGCTCCATTCTTCATTCTTCTCCAGCCCCAGTGAGTGAGAAGAGAAGGTTTGTGGAGTTCCTTTCAATTCAACAAACATTTATTGGAAAACCTTTGGAGGTAACAATGCAGCACAACTAACTGGAATGTTCATGAAATGAATTGTTCTGGTAAATTGAGCTTTCTAAGTAACTAAGTTTTATTCTGCAAACTCTCGTTACATATCTCTCTGAAACGTCTGACTCTGCTTTCTTCCCACCATAAGCACAGCCTAGTGAGCATGGTTGATGCTTTCTTTGATGAGCGGGGATCTTAAAAGCCCTCAAGGTGATTATTTCCAGAAGACCAAGTCTCAAGGTGATAATGTAGATAAAGACAGGGAAGGTGATGGGGCTGAAGGAACTGCACAGGACAGAAGTTACTTTATCAAAAGATAAATTCCCAATATCAGCTTGATTCAAAATCATTTTCCTGCTGAAAGAGGAGCCCTGAAGGAGTTCTGGTTAGCAGAAATTTTCTAGGAGCTGAGGATTGATTGTTGTCATGACAATGGCTGTGAACCACTGATGCTTGTGTTTATATGGTGCTCATATTTTCACGCCTTTTTCCTACTTATGCTCGCATTTCAGTCTCACATCAGCCTTTGAAATGGCAAAGGCATATTTTGCTTTTCCCCCGAACATTCAGAACAACAAAGGCGCACAGGGTCTAAGTGACTTTCCCCATGTCTGGGTGGCAGCTGACTAGAACACAAACCCCTTGAATTGCTGCTCTCCATTTATTTGGTTTCTGTTCTGGGGTATTTTCTTAGGTCTAGAAAATGGGAAGAAGACAGACTGTTTTCATGGATCTTGAGAAAGAAAAAAATAGAGCAAGAAAAAACTCAGTAAGTGGTCACATTGTAAGGGGAAAGCTGGGCTGCAGAAAGAGTGGACAGAAGCCAAGGGATTTCCCCCAGACTCCTGTGTGTAGAATTAGAAGTGACATGTCCCTGCCCCATGGTCCAGAGCCCCGGGCTACATGGTGCAAGTAACATTCTCCTCTTACAGTGGCAATCTCCTGCCATTACCCTGACATTCTTGGCCAGGTCACTGATCAAAGGAACAAAATCAGGAGACAAAGTCAGCCATGAGAACAAAGTCAGAGATACCTCCACCTTGGGAGAAGGACACTGGCCAATGGGATGTGTTTTTTGCAGCCTGCTTCTTCCCCAAAGGGAAGGAAACTGTCTTTCTGGGCTGTCAAAGTGGCTCTTCACAGTGGAATAGCCAGGGATGCAAAGGACAAGGACCTGGTAGTCAGAGACCTGGGTTCAAAGTCCTGGCAATACAACCATGGGCAGATCAAATGAATTTTCTGGGGCTCAGCTGATTTCTCATGCATGCAGAAGGGAAGAATTATCTTTCACCCTCTAGAATTCCAAGACTACTCTGGAAATAAATGAGATCATGTGAAAAGAAAGATATTTTGTGCTTTTTAGAAACAGGAGACTAACGACAACCAAGTCACTCTTAGAGATGCGCGGATAATTTATCTGCAGATTTCTGAGGCCTCCTTCTCTTCAAATGTTTGCCCGTTAATTGCATCTCCTACATTATCTTACACATTTTTGCCTTGGGTTTAACTGACATTGAGGATGAGGGATACACTAATGTTTGATTGTGAACTGAATAAACACAAGGAATTACTTTTTTTCTGTGCATATCAATTTTCACATCTGTAAAATGGAGAGGAGAAGGTTGAGGCAGGGTAGTTAGTTCTGTTAGATGATTTCTAAAACTTCTTAAAATACAACAGCCAATGGATTGAAAATTCTGTCTTTCTAAAGAGAAACTAATCTGTTGTGGGCCATATCTATAAAAAGCTAAGGACCAGGTAGGCATAGATGAGTGGGCAAGAAATTCAGGAAGAACAAAACATGAGAAGGAGAGAAAAAATTTGGGTTCCCAAGCAGCTGGCAAAGCCCAAGAAGAAGAATGGACTGCAAAACTGCCCTGAGCTACCCTCTGTACACTGCCTGCGGGGTAGTTCCATGCTGCAGGAGTAGTCACAGAGTTGTAACACCTCTTCAATAAAGCTATTTTTTTCTACCACCAGCTGGCCCTTGAATTCTTTTCTGGACAAAGCCAAGAACCCTCATGGACTAAGCCCCACTTTGGGGCTTGCCTGCCTGGCATCAGTGTCTCTGCAAACAGGTTAAATCTGTCACACATGCGTACATGTGGTCCAGTGGGCTTTCTTGTACTTAGAAAGCCTAGCTTCAACCTCTCTCTCTAGTCCAGTGAAACCAAGCAGAATCAATGATCTCCTCTGAGGATAGTGAAGGCAGGACATCAGAACTCATAGCTGGAGACATTATATCTGAGCAGGGGGAACAGCAGGGGGGACAAGAATATCAGAGTCCATTAGTAAAACAGCCAAACAGGCTCAAAGAAAAAGCATGTGGCTGCTGGCCCTATAGAAAGTCTTAGGGCCCATTCATTGCAAACACACCGACACTCAGAGCTGTGATTTCCTCTGTGGAGGAAGGTGGGAGAGGAAGGAGGCCCACAATCCTGAGAATGAGGCCACCAGACTCCACACCTTCTCTCTCGGCTCTGCAGTCTCCACAGAAAGCCTGAGCAGAATGAAGGCTTTGGTGGCACAGGGAATAAATGGTGAGCCACTCTGAGCCTGTGGAAGAACTAGGCCAATGTGTCTCAAAGTGTGAGTCAAGAATCGCTCATATCGGAATAACCTGGCTTGCTAATTTAAAAATGTGTTTTCCTGGACTCTACCACTGAATCTGAATCTTTCGGGGAATTCACATTTTTTTTAGCAAGGTATTCAGTGTGATTCTTATGTCTAGCGCTGTTGAAAACCATGTGAGCTTTTTGAGTGCTTGACAAATAGTAGATACTCAGCAAAAATACATTGAAAGAGCGAATGCATAAATCAATGTGTATGAGGAAGTTCATTCCTAGTGAACCAGGAGGTAGGAGGAGTGACTAGGAGGAGACCCGGGGGTTTATTGGACCTGAAAAATGGGTTCTAAGGCTTCCAACAGGGCCAACATTCTCCCATACCACGTCTTCCTGACCTAACTAACCTAACCTGACTTTAGGTTGTTATCTCAGATCTAGTCTTTTAAAAACGTAGCTCATTCTCTCTCTGGCCTTGAAAAGGCTGCTATTCATCCTCCCATTGAATTTTTAGGTTTTCACTATTGGATTTTTACTTCCAGAATTTTTATATGTTCTTTTTGACAATTACATATTTTGTTGTATGGTCTTATTCATATCATCTTAGTGCTTCTTTCTTCCTTAATAGTTTAACATTTTAAAGGTACTTATTAAAATTTCTTTCAAATGGTTTTATTATGTCTAGATATTGGGGTATAAATTCTTGGATTTGATGTATCTGCTGACAATTCCTTTCGATGGTTTGTTTTCTTCTGTGATTATAATATTTGATGGTGAGTAGCTCTTCAGTGGAGATTACCTCCTATGGGATTCCCATGTGCCCTGGGCTTTGGAAGTGTCCAGAAGTGTCCACTTCTCACAAGGCATCTGTAGGGCCCCACAAGGTTCAAATGCTTCTGGCTGGTTTAAATTTTGATTTCTCAGCTGAGGTTCCTGACCATGTAAGTAGTAGGAACTTAGAACTCAAGCCCATCACTTGGTTCATGATGCCAATTTATTCATAATGGCTATCATTACCTGATACAATTTGGATTTGCGTCCCCACCCAAATCTCATGTCAAATTGTAACCCCCAGTGTTGGAGGAGAGGTCTGGTGGAAGGTGATTGGATCATAGGGGCAGATTTGCTGTTCTCATGATAGTGAGTGAGTTCTCATGAGATCTGGTTGTTTAGAAGTGTGTAGCACCTTTCCATTCTCTGTTTCTCCTGCTCCGTCCATGTGAAGACATGCCTGCTTCCTTTTCCCTTTCTGCCGTGATTGAAAGTTTCCTGAGGCCTCCCCAGCTACGCTACCTGCACAGCCTGCAGAACTGTGAGCCAGTTAAACCTCTTTTCTTTATAACTTACCCAGTTTCAGGTATTTCTTTATAGCTGTGCAAGAATGGACTGGTAGAGACCTGTTATATACCCATGGCCACAGTGAACATCAAACTTTCCTCATCAACTTCCAAGATGGCCTGTGGGGTTTTTCTTATTCTTGTTTCATGGGTACACCAGTTCTCATGATCTTTACCTTTATGACCATTCAACTCCACCACATGGGGCCTGCAGCCAAGACTCCACTCCCCAGTCAGGTATTGGAACTCTAGCCCCAGTTGATTTGATCATTCCATGAGTCATTTTGGATTCAGCAACCTCTGACTACCCTGACTTTGAGTTTTCGCTCTCTTTCTCAAGCACTGGGGACTTCTCTCTCTTAATTTTGAGTATGGCTGTGTCTTCAAATTCTCTTTAGTTCTGTTTTATCCGTGACCCCTTGTGTTTGGGAGGGGTGGGGGCTGGGGAGGTAAAGTTCTTTTCTATTTGCTCCGTGCATCCTGTTAACCAAGAAGCCTCAGCTCTTGCTCTTACAGCACACAGCTCCTTCTTCGAGTGGGAAGAGGCTCGTTTAATTCATGTTCTGTTTTGTTTGATGGCTATTCAGAAGGAAGAAAGTCCTGATTCCCTCAGAAGTCATATGATAAAATGAAGATTTCTCTTACTGAAAGGAAAGAACCTGAGTGGGCAAGGGAGAAAGAGCCGAGGGAAGACACTGGCAGGAGTACCTCTTTTAGAAAGAAGTTCAGAGCTACTTGGGGCAAGTTGGAAATAGGGCCAACCTCTGAGACTTGGAGTTCTGAACAAAGAGGCAGAGGTGCTGAGGAGATAATTGACATCAGTAATCTAAGCAGAAACTGCACACGAACTGCGTTAGACCTTCGAAAAAGCCCAAGGCTGCCTGGAGGTGGGGAGAAGAGATAAACAAGCAACTGTTCAGAGAAAGGAAATTTATAACAGTTTTGTTAATGACAGAGCATTCATTTTGTGCGATGGAGGTGTATTTCTTTTAACTCTTCTCTAACTGGAGTATTTCATACCTTCTAAGAAGAAGAGTTTTCCATGCCATTCGCTAATTAAATGTTTTAAAATGGAAAATGGGAATGTATCCAGTGTTATATCCTGTTTTTTTTTTCTTCCACCGATGCCTGAAGTAGTCCAACTACTGCTCTCATGCTGACCTTAATCAGGCCACATGGATCACTTGGAGATGTCTCCAGAAACCTGTAAAAATTAAAGAGCATCCATTGACCTTTAAAAGATGCTCAGCCCCCATGAATAGTGGGAGTATCACAGATTTCACAATGGAGACTCTAAATCAGTAGGGGCCAGGCGCAGTGGCTCACGCCTGTGATCCCAGCACTTTGGGAGGCCAAGGTGGGGGGATCTCTTGAGCTCAGGAGTTCAAGAACAGCCAGGGCAACATGGTGAAACCCCGTCTGTACCAAAAATACAAAAAATTAGCCAGGCATGGTGGCATGTGCCTGTAATCCTAGCTACTCAGGAGGCTGAAGTGGGAGGATAACTTGAGCCTGGGAAACAGAGGTTGCAGTGAACTGACATCTCACCACTGCACTCCAGCCTGGGAGACAGAGTGAGAGCCCATCTCAAAAAGAAAGAAAGAAAGGAAGGAAAGGAAAGAAAGAAGGAAAGAAAGAAAGAAAGAAAGAAAGAAAGAAAGAAAGAAAGAAAGAGAAAGAAACATAGAAAGGAAAGAAAGAAAGAAAGAAAGGAAAGAAAGGAAGGAAAGAAAGAAAGAAAGAAAGGAAGGAAGGAAGGAAGGAAGGAAGGAAGGAAGAAAGAAAGAAAGAAAGAAAGAAAGAAAGAAAGAAAGAAAGAAAGGAAGGAAGAAAGGAAGAAAGAAAGACCGGCCAGTAGGAGCGGAGTCCATCTGATATAAAGGGCAAAGGAGGCAGTTGTCTGAGTACTTAATGCCAAGGCGGGTAAACTACTTCAGCGGATGCTGGAAGAATTCAGGAGAGGGGTGAACCCCACCCCCTTATCCCCCATCCTCTCTACGCCAGGCTGTGAGCAGTAGTAGTGAGTAAGGTCTTCAAGGAAGCTAATGACCGAATTCTATTCTTACTCAGTGTGTATGACTCCAATCATCACAGCACAAGCAGTTTGATTATGGGAGCTAAATAAATATCAGGGACACAAATATCCTCGGGGGAAGGGTTGAGGGGAGGAGAGAAGCATGGAGAGAGAGGGTACCCTACCCACCGGCTTAAAGCAGGCAGGAAAGAAGAAGAGGCTTTCTTGGCGGGAGATGGAAAGGAAAATGGAAGAAGCTTTTGAATCCTGCTCTGCATAGGAGGGCATGGGAGCTCAGACGCTGTCAAAGCAAGAAGGAGGGTCCACTGACTCTTTATGCTAGAACGCCTTGAGTTGAGCAATTAACATGATGCCTGGACCCCAAGGCAGCTGAAGGCCAGGGGATTCTGGGACTCTGTCCTGGTCCTGGTGATGATGTTGATGTTAATGATGATGGTGATGATAGCAAACACTTTCACAGTGCTTACCGTTTGCCAGGTACTTTTCAAAGCACTTTATATACAATAACTCATTTAATCTTCATAACAACCTTACAAGTTAGATAAACAGAGGTGCAGACTGAGTAAGAAATTTCCCCAAGTTCACACAATCAATAAGTGGTGGGTTTCAAACCTTGGCAGACTGGCTCAATTGCCCATGCTTTTAACCACAGAGCTGTGCTGTGTTTATATATGGAGAAATATATATCAATATGTAATGATAATAATAATAACCACTACAACTGCTATGGAGTGCTTGCTCTATGCCAGACACGGTACTAAGCATTTTAGGTACGTGCATGATCACTCTTAACTGTTGGGACAACTCAATGAGGAAAGTAGCAATATTACTCCAACTTTGAAAATGAGACAAGACAGAATCTTAATGGTTGAACAACTTAGGGAAGGTCACCCAGTTAATAAGTGGCAATACTGGGCACCAACTTTTGTGTCTAGAATACATAAGCCCATCAGGGAAGAAGGGTATGGGAGACCTATTCGTGGGCCAGGGAAAGAGCTTATTTGACCTGTGAAGGGAAGATCCCCCTCTAAATTTAAGCACATACCCATGACCATGTAAGGCTAAATAACCCTTCCCCTGTTACTTTTGGGAGAGAATGAAGACACTGAGGATGACTTCATTTCCCAAAATTATTTTCTTCTGCTAACAACAGTTTTGAGATAAGCAGTACTATAGAGCAGGGATCTGCAAACGGGGCCAAATCCCATTCATACCTGTTTTGTTTGTTTGTTTTTGTGTTTGTTTGTTTGTTTGAGACAATGCCCCACCCTGTCAATCAGGCTGGAGTGCAGTGGTACAATCATGGCTCACTACAACCTCGACCTCCTGGGTTCAAGTAATTCTCCCACCTCAGCCTCCTGAGTAGCTGGGACTACAGTTTCACACAACCACATCTGGCTAATTTTTGCTTTTTTGTTTTGTTTTGTTTTGCTTTGTTTATTTTTGTTTCTTTATTTATTTTTTTTTTGTAATGACAGCATTTCACCATGTTGCTCAGGCTGGTTTCAAACTCCTGAGTTCAAGCCATCCACCTGCCTCAGCCTCCTGAGTAGCTGGAACTACAGGCATGAGCCACTGCGCCGGACCGCATACCTGTTTTTGTAAATAGAGCTTTATTGGAACACAGCCATGCCCATTCATTGATACGTTGTCTGTGGCTGCTTTCATACCATAATGGTAGGGCTGAGTAGTTGCAATGGAGACCATGTTCCACATGCCTATAAGAAAAAGTGTGCTGATCCTGCATAGAGATAAAAAGTGAATGGGTCTGCTCATGGATTGGACGTGAGAAGAGCAGCAAAAGAAGGAATCCAGAGTGACTTGTAGGGTTTGGGGACACTCAACAATTCATCTCTCTTTCACAGAGCCCCCACCTCTGTATGTGTCAAGCATTGTACTGCTACATGCTGAGGATCCAGACATACAGAGCACAGCCTTGTGGGAGAAGCACACACAAACACAGTGACAGATGAAATAAAGCTTGAGTGAGCCTGGAAAGGCGAGCTGAGTACAGCATCCATAAATGATGAAGACAGCACTGAGTCCATTTTTATTTATTATCTGGGATACTGAAGTCAACGTGCTATGGTCTTCCCTCCTCTCCTCCCGAAGATCATAAACAATTGAGTGACCTGATAAGTCATGCCATATTATTAGCAGATGCCATATTGTTCATTCATCAATTTTGAGAGCCCTCTAAGTGCCAGGCACTGGGCTAGGTATTGAAGATAACACAGACATGGTCCCTGCCCTCATGGCACTTTCTTGATTGTAACAGAAAGGCAAGAGAAAGCGAAGAGTGGAGAAAAGGGACAAAGTTTGAGAAAGATGAGACAGTGCATGTCAGATGGCTTCTCTTGTTCCAGGAGAGTAAGCAGTGAAGGAACAGAGGTGAGAAGCTTGGAGTGAGAAGAAAAGGTATCAAATAGTCATCTCCTACAGTGCTAAACTTTTCCCCAGAAAACAAACATAATGCAATTACCAGGCAGTATTGGATGCCAATCTGAGGGCTGTGGTCAAGAATTTACAGTAAAAGCAGGTTCCCTGGTAAAGTTTTCTTCCAACCTCATTGCACTACTCAGTTGTAGGCACCAAGATGGCCATGCAGGTCCAGAGGGATGCAGCCTCACAGCAGGCAAAGCCATCAGGAGTCCAGAGTGTGAAGTCTATTACCAAGCATAAGCATTTGTTAATTGGAGGAAGGTCGTGGGTCATGATA
The DNA here is from genome assembly GCF_000001405.40 of Homo sapiens. Taxonomy (NCBI): domain Eukaryota; kingdom Metazoa; phylum Chordata; class Mammalia; order Primates; family Hominidae; genus Homo; species Homo sapiens. Next base: position 204,765,685 of record NC_000001.11, on the reverse strand, counting down.
TTGGAAATATTGATTAAGTCCAGGTCTGCTGAGTAAAAAACCCTGTTTCCTTGCGGAAATCTTAAACTCTTATCTTTTGCTGACAGGCTCTAATGATTCTAGTGCAGCTAGGACACTTTAGTTCAAAGAGATGATTAGCGTTGTCAGTTAGGGCTGGATGCATTGATTTTCTAATTAGACTTTGGGGTTGCCGTGGCCTCTTCCCTCGTTAGGCTCTGTAAGCACAGGCTGCCATCTACATATGCAAAAAATATTGCCTACCTTAAACATTGCCTTGAAAATTATAAATGGGCATTTGCTAATTTCTTGATGTCAGACCGTGACCTTTTTGTTAGTATAGATGCACTTTCCTTCCCCTCATCTTTCTTTCATAAACTGTACCCATAATACATCAGCTGAGATTCATTTTTATTCTACCCAGCAACTTGAAAACGCTTGTGTAGGGAGGGATAGCATTAGGAGATACACCTAATGTAAATGACGAGTTAATGGGTGCAGCACACCAACATGGCACATGTATACATATGTAACAAACCTGCACGTTGTGCACATGTACCCTAGAACTTAAAGTATTATATATATATAAAAGAAAGAAAACACTTGTGTAGCAACCTGAATGCAGAGTCCTTGGGATTTTTATAATTCCCCTCCCCCACTGCTACTCCCACTAATCTTTTACAGACAATTCAACCACACCTCAATAGAAAACGTTTTACTCTTTTTTTTTAAAGATAAATTGCCTGTAGAGGCTCTTTCCAAAGTATTCAGACTAATTTTATAGACCCAATTCTTGTCAGTAATTATTTAATTGTATATTTTTAAATAACTAAAAGAGTATAACTGGATTGCCTGTGATATAAAGGATAAATGCTTGAGGGGATGGATACCCAATTTTATGTGATGCGATTATTCCACATTGCATGCCTGTATCGAAACATCTCACGTACCCCATAAATATATACACCTACTATGTAGCCACAAAAATTAAAATAAAAAAATTTTAAAGAAACAATTCTTTTTACTTGTATTTCATCAAGTTATATAGTATTTAATTAAAAATATGTGATTACAAAAGAGTACAACTGGCACAAACAGAGATCAGACTAAACGCAGCTGGCTCCTGGAACCACAGGCAATGTGAGAGGTGTGAGAAGGCACACCGCCAGCCCCCATGGGCATCAGCTATGTGACTTCTCAGAGGGGCTGCAGAACTGGGTGGGGTAAGGGACCTTCTGCTAAACTCCCTCGGAGCAGGAGAGCCTGAGCTGTGTCAGACAGAGGCCACACTGCCAGTTGACTCTACGGTGGGATTTGAGCAGCACATAGGACTCCTGCCCCAATGCCACCCACACTCATGCCTAAATGTCAACATAATGGGGTCCTTTCTTTAGGCTTGAAATTGCCTCTTTTTCGTGGTCATCTGTCAGATTACAGGTCAGCCTTGGGTCGGTGAGGGACTCATTAAGTCTCCAGCGTATAGGAAAAGTTGATCCTATTAGCTCCTTTCTCATGGAGAATGCTGGCAGTGCGAGATGTCTAGAAACACAGGCTTTTCTAAATTACTGGGTTTTGTCCAGGTGCGCCCGTTTAGAGGCTGGTTTAGGTGTGAAGCTGCCCAAGCTGCCCTGCTGCAGGCTGAGCCGGCTTCCTAGTTTTGGAGCCTAGTGCTCTGCGCCCACCGCTGGAGGGCGCCAGGCCCAGGAAGAAGGACTTCCTGCCGCCCTGGCAGCCACTGCTCAGCGGGAGGGGCGAGAGCGGAGAGCGTGGGCAGTGGCATTTAGGTGGATGAGTAAGAGCTAACCCAGCCCCCGTTGTTCTTGACCTTGGCTGCAGCTGCTGCCAGAACTGGAGACCAAGCTGACCGTGCTATGCATGACCCAGCACCCTAGCATTAATTAAGGGGGTTGGTGACATTGGAACTCAGGGTAAACAGAGGGAGGCAGATTTCTAGCTCTGGTTTCCAGGATTCTGAAAATGAGAATCTGCTGAGAGAGTGGGGGCAGTGGGCCTGGGCGTTGCTTCTTCCTGCACAGGAACATCAGCCCTCTGGCTTCTGCATCTTGGAGAACTCCAGCTTTTGGGGAGGAAATTGAGATGTCCAGGTTCCATGGAGCCATGGAGGGAGTAGAACAGATGTAATTCTAGGAGCCAGGACATTTGGAAGGTGGGAGCATCTAGGGATTAAGAACATTAGCTTTGTAGTCAGTCAGTCTGCCTTAGAATCACAGCCTTACACATTAGTGCCTGAATAACCTTGGGCTACTTATACCTGTTATACATTGCCTCAGTTTCCTCATCAGTAAAATGGGGGATTCCATACCTACCATAGTGGGTGGTTAGGAGAATAAAATGACATAAAAGCACTCAGCACACTGTGGGCATATTGGAAGTTTCCCACAAATGCTAGCTTCTCAGAGCATCAGGAGAGAGATACTGTGGTTTGGAGAGATGGGGTATAGAGGTCAGTGGTTAGACTGCCTGACTCAGGACCCTCCCCACCACTGCCTGTGCCTCAATAAAGGACTAGAAGTCAAATTGCTTAACCTCTCCAGGCTTTAGTTTCCCTTTCCATACCAGAAGAAGCCACCTTCTAGTAAGAAAGCAATAGATCTCGACAGCAATACCAATTTGTAATCTGGGGGCTTTGGAGCATTAGCATTAACTAAATAGAGGCCTTACTGAGACAACATCAGAGCCACCTGGCATGTGGAAATTTCTGTATTAGATCACAGGATCCTCCAGTGACAACCCAACCCAACATAATTTTCCACCGTTGTCTTTAAAGTCCTAGAGGCTTGAGGGTGAAGTTTGTAAGTCTCCTTTCTGATTCTACCTCTGGCCTGCTTCATCTCAGGCTTCCCAAGGTCCAATCCCTATATTATGGTTTTTACATTTTTCTGCAAACTTTTAAAATACATTTTTCTTTAAAAGGTGCAGCCTATTCTCCTCCCCTTGAATGTGAGCCAGACTTCTCTCTAAAGAATAGAATGTGGTGGAAGTGAAGCCATGTGACTTCTGAGGCTAGATCATAAAAAGGATAGCCTCTGCCTGAATCTCTTTCTCCTGGGTCTCTCACCCTGGGGGAAGCCAGTGACCATGTCATGAGGACACTCAAGCATCCTCCGAAGAGGTCCATGAGGAGAGGAACTGGGTCTCCTTGCCAACAGCCAGCACCATCACGCCCATTATATAAGTAAGCCACCTTGGAAGTGGCTCCTCCAGCCCCAATCAAGCCTTCAGATGACTGCAGCCCAGCCTACACCTGGAGTGCAATCTCCTGAGACACTACAAGCCTGAACTGCCCTGCCAAGCCTCTCCTAGATTCCTGACCCCCACACACTGTGTTTATTTATTTTTTATTATGTATGTTCCTTATTTTTATCTTAAGCTACTCAATTTGGGGGTAAATAGATATGCGGCAATAGACAATGAATACACTCCATCTCCTTGATGTATCTCCATCTCCCTGAACTTAAATGTAGCTTGGATACCCTGCTTGCATCATCCTGGCTAGTCTGTCTGCTGTCCTGGGTGAAGGCAGCAGGGGATGCCAGGTCAGGAGCAGTGCTCTGAGGACAAAGAATTTCAGCTCCTGGAGAAAAGTTGACCCGACCTTTTATCCTACAAAGGGCTCAGCAGAGAAGCTGCCAGTGTTGTCAGTAAGTGATTGCTACTTCTCAAAGAATGGGGAGGGTCCTAGGACCCTGAGCATAAAAGTAGAGCATCAAATGTAGGCCTGGTTTCCAGAGGGTCTCCAACTGGATGACCACTCTGCCATCAACCACAGCTAGGATGAATGCGGGCATACCTGGCCCATTCCACCCCCATGCTTAGCAAACTTGTGCAGAATACAGGTGTTTTCTGTAAACATAACCAGTAAGCTGAGTGCTCAGAGTCCTAACCACATGCATTAACCCCTCTTTTTCCTCTCCTCTAGATGCTGGTGTTCTCCAAGCTTCTGTCTTCATTGGGAGTGAGGGAAGTGCAAGAGAGAATATTCCTGAAAAGTAGCACCTTTCATTTTTTAAAGTAATATATTGCATGTCAATATTAAGACTGATGAAAATCTGTTAAAAGATTTCACAATTGTTGTAAGAGGAAAAAAAAGCAGCAGCAGTACTGTAAGATGTGGGGAGACAGTTTTCAAAGGATGGCACCTTTTTCACATACTTGCCCTTCACCAATCAGAAATTGAATCCCTGCCCCTAGGCAGGCACTCTGTGATGTTAGAACCTGAATACACCTCTTTCCTCATCTCTCTTCTCACTCCTGCCTGTGATACTTAAGGGATCTTCAACTCCCCCATTGCTCCAAATACTACCTGTATTCTGATGACTTGCCAGAAAATAGCTCCAAGCTCAGTTCCCTACTGAGGTTGAGATCCCTCGCATCTCTGATATGGCAGACAAGGCTAGCCACAATTTTGTCTGAGCCTCATCTCCTGCGACCTCACCCTAAACCCCTAAGGTGGAGCCCAACTATTAGAGCTTATCTATTATTTCCTGTGGCAGTGACTGCAAATTGCCAATCAAAATCCATCTCCATTCTTTCTTTCTAAGAGAATCTAGCTAAAAGACCATGATTCCAAGCCTTTGTGAAACAGGAGGCCATGCAATTAAGTTCTGGCAGTGATGTCTAAACAGAAGTGAAATGTGAGACTTCTGAAAAGCTGTTTAAAGGAAACTGACTCAGCTGAAGGGAGGGGCCTTTGTCCTTCTCTCCCTTTCTTATTTCTGCTGCCCAGAACTGGGATGTGTTGGCTGGAGCTCCTGCAGCCATTCTGGACCGTGAGATGACCTTGAGAATGAAAGCCATGTGCTAAGGATGTGGAGCAGAAAAGCGGAATATTAAAATATATATGGCACCATTTTGCACCAGGTTCTGTTCAAAACGCATTTCCTTTATTAAATCATTTAATCCTCAGAGCAGTCCTCAAAGATAGATACTTTTATTATCCTCATTTTACAGATGAGGAAGCAGAGAGGAAAGGTAACTTCCTCAAAATCTCATGGCCTGAGAAAGGACTAAAACTCAGGCCAGTGTGACTCTGGAGTCCGTGCTCTAAGCAGTCATCTTGCATTGCCTGGGTTCCTCATGACTCAGGAACTACCTACCACACCAGCCCCGGGCTGCCTAGCTCTGCACTTCTCTTGTGTATGAAAGAAATAAACCTCTAGCTTACTTAAGTCACTGCTATTTTGAGTTCTCTATTGTTGGCTGCCAAGCCTATGCCTACCTGATACATTCTCCAATTGATTTTCATGCCTCCAGGCACTTGTTCAAACTCTTCCTTCTGCCTGGAATGCCCTTTCCATTGTACACTCCTCTGTTAGCACACATCAAATGCAGAATAACATCACAGCTATTTCTTTACCCATCTGTCTTCCAAGCTAGATGTTCACCATCCAGAATGGAGGGACACTGTCTTATAGTCTGTTCCCATAAAATTTAACCTGGTCTGGCACATAATAAGTGCTCTATAAATGTTCCCTGAATTTAATTAAATTGGGGGAAAATCCCAGTCTTATACAAAAGCAGGATAAAATGGTTTGACATCACATATGTTGGGGTGTTACTCCCCTTCCCCTTTCTCCCAACCAAGGCTACCCCAAATCTTCTTACTTGTTTCTCGATCCTTCCACTAAGTTTGCTTTTTGTTCCACAGTGAAATGAAACTTACTTTTAATGAGCACTCCGTGTATCGTGGACATTTCACATGCTATTTCATTCTCTACAACACTGAGAAGTTTTCTAGAGATGAGAAAACTGAGGCTCTCAGAGAGAAGGTGATTCTCCCAAGATCACACACCTGGTAAGGGGCAGATTTAGGTGAACGCAGAACTATCTTATGGCATACACCCACATTATGATAGCTATTGTTTTAAAATATATTGTATAGCATCAAGGGTACTAGTCTGGGATTCCATAACCCTAGTTTCTAGTCAAGCCTCTTAACTCTGGTTTGATCTTAGTTTTCTCAGCTGTAAATTATGGGATGATCTCTGAGGACCCTTCCAGCTCTGGCAGCGCATGATTCTATGAAATACACACTAAGTTTAAGTAATTGAGAGTCTTTTTTTTTTTTTTTTTTGAGACAGTCTCACTCTGTCACCCAGGCTGAAGTACAGTGGCGTGATCTTGGCTCATTGCAACCTCCGCCTCCTGGGTTCAAGTGATTCTCCTGCCTCAGCCTCCAGAGTAGCTGGGATTACAGGCATATGCCACCACACCCAGCTAGGTTTTTATTTTCTTGTTCTTTTTTTTTGTTGTTGTTGTTTTGTTTGTTTTTTAGTAGAGATGGGGTTTCACCATATTTGCCAGGCTGGTCTCGAACTCCTGACCTCAAGTGATCAAGTGATCTGCCTGTGTTGGCCTCCCAAAGTGGGGATTACAGGCATGAGCTACCACACCTGGCCAGAGGTCTTTTTTACATAGGAAAGTCTTTTTTATATAGGAAATTCCAGAGGGCAAAAGATAAAAGTTGCAACTAAGGGGCTCTGAATATAGAAGCAAGCTTGGTGTTGATTCTGCTAGACACTGACTCTGCTTGGCTGCCAGGATCTCAGAAGTCCATCAAGCACAACCCCTCTCCTCATATCATATCTGACATAGTCACCCATCTGAGCCAAGAAAAGGACAGCAAGAAGGGCATTTTCTGGGAGAAGGCCAAGTCTGCAAACAGATCTCTTTCACCAGAATCCCTAGGTATGGAAGGGTTTGTCTAGAAGTTGTGGGCTCCTGTGGACCTGTGCATATTGACACTCACCTGTGGAGCTCCTGCTGCATCAAGAATTCCAGGGAGGCTGTCACCTTGGGAGTCTGGGAGAGGTGGAGTGAGTGTGAACAAATATAGTGTGTGCTCTTGGAGGAAATAGAGTGCTGGAAAAATCCCCGAGGGGGTTCCAAGAGCCATAGAATGCTAAATGCAAACAGGCAGGCAGACAAGCAGGCCACTGCCTCTTTGCAATCCATGACTCTCCACAGGACATCCCTGTGCTCCTCCCCTGGCGTGGGACCCACTCAAACCCATGGCCCTTCTGCTGCAAGAGTCCTGAGTTCAAATCTGCTTTGATGACACTGTCATGTGAATCTAAAATTTAAAGTTGTCTCTCCAGATTGCTATTTATTATACAAACTGAACTAAATGAAATGATTCTTCTACTCAAATATATCATCTCTAGTTTGCCACACATATTTGATAATAATCAATAGTGACATTGTACAGCCCTTTACAGCTCATAAATCACTCTCGTATCCATTACCTCACTTGGGCCTCCCTTCAGCTCTAAGCTGGAAGAATTATATTGAATCACATGAAATTGCTGATGTTCAGTTGGTTTTGACCAGCAAAAATGGCACTTTCATATGGTTCAGTGTAATATTTGTGCTTTCGCTGTCTTTTTGCCAATGGGGAAACTGAGGCTTTTAATCATGTATAACTTGTCCAAGGTTTTTAGTAAGTGATAGAACTGGGACTGTACCCCTGATTCTGATTCCAGACGTCATTTGTTCATCCCGTAAGAACTTATTGAGAGCCTGCTATGTGCCAGGCACTTGCTGGGAACTAAAAACACCAAGGGGGAAGAGTGCCTTTACCCTGTCTGCCTGGGCATGTGCATAAAATTTGGGGGCTGTGTAGGGAAAACAGCACTCACTGGCAGCAATGACATATAGTGAGCAGTGACTTTAGGCCAGGCCCACTTCTGCTTTTATATTTCTGCTTATGTATTATTTACTTAAAAATACATATTTTTATATATAAAAATAAATAATAAATATAGAGATATACATTTTTTGAGATGGAGTATATTTATATATACATATATTTTGAGATGGAATATATATATGTGTATATATATGTGTATACATATGTGTGTATATATATATGTGTGTGTGTATATGCATATATTTTTAATTTTTGAGATGGAATCTTGTCCAGGCTGGAGTGCAGTGGCGTGATCTTGGCCCACTGCAGTCTCTGCCTCCCAGGTTTAAGCAATTCTCCTGCCCCAGCCTCCCAAGTACCTGGGATTACAGGCGAGCGCCACCATGCCTGGGTAATTTTTGTATTTTTAGTAGAGACAGGGTTTTGTCATGTTGCTCAGGCTGGTCTCAAACTCCTGACCTCAGGTGATCCACCCACCTCAGACTCCCAAAGTGCTGGGATTACAGGCGTGAGCCACCCTGCCTGGTCCTACTTAAATATTTATGTTGTATTATTTTAAAACCTAATTATTATTTTATTACTAATAATATTTATATACTAATTAATCCTCACACCAACCTTGCCTGGTCTACAAGTGAGGAAATTGAGGCACAGTAAGGTTACATAATATGTCCATGGTCACATGATTAGTAAGTAACCAAGCCAGGATTGAAGCAGTCTGGCTTTGGAGTCTACTACAGTAACCATCCTGCATCTGCCTGGGCAAATCTGGGAAGAATTCTGGGAGGAGGTGACCTCTGAGTTGAGACCTGGAGGATGAATAGGGCAGAGTCCATCTGGGCAGAGGAAAAAACAAGACAAAGGTTCAGAAACCTGAAGAAAAAAAGGCATGCTTTTGGGAATCAGCCTGGAGCACAAAGTATTAGGGAAGGAAGTGGTAAGAGATGAGGTTGGCTAGATAGACAAGGGGCAGGTTTTGCAAAGGGTTTGTATTTTATCCCATAAGCAATGAGGAGCCATTAAAATTCTTGTCAGGGGAGTGACATGATTAGATTAGCCTGCTAGCAAGATCGCTTGGAGGGCAGAGTGGGAGATGTATTAGAGATGGAAGAAAGACTACAAGTTATTGTAATTTGGGGGTATGAGTTCATCCACAGACCACTTCTCTAAACCACCTTGCCTCTAATTTTCCTATCATGATTTCTCCAAGTCCCTGGCCATCTGCTAAATCACTAGCTATTGCTCATGAATCACATTAGACGCTTACCTCGGGCCATCTCTTCTGTTGAGAATAGTGGTCACGCTGTACTGCTGGAAGGATGCGCCTCTGTGCTGTCCTTTGAGCCTGGTCCTGAGGGCAGGTCTAATGCCACAGCAGTCCTGTGTGATGCCAGCACATTGTGCGGAGCCACCTGTAAATCAGGCTGCAGTTGTTCCTCCATAGTCAACAGGTCACAGGGGACTCCTCGTGAAGCTACAGGTATGTGCGTGGGGTGGCAGTATAACAGGAGCAGGGGTGTTGGGAGAGTAAAGCACATGTGACTCGCTCGTGCTGTCAGGACCTGCTTGACCCAGTTCCAAATAAACTGTTCCCACCTGATGATGTGGTGGTGCTTGGCATGCCCTTCTTGGTTTGTTGATTAGATCATACCCAATTCTGGATGAGCCACTTGGGTTGCATGGTCACCAGGTATACTGTGCTCAGTCTGTGAGGCCTAGTAGAAAGTCAAGAGCTGTTTCTTACATGCATAGTTACAGCAAAGAAATGATGTCCCTGTCCCAAAACTCCAGGGGTCCCCACTGTGATTCTCCCATTGGTACTTTCCAATGGCTCCGTATGGAAGCCTGATCTGCCACAGCATTGATCATCATTGCATCTGCTGGGTCATGAGAGGCACGGGACAGAGCAGCTTGCATGGCAACCTGGACATGCAACAGAACCTTTTCTTGCTCTGGGCCCCTCTCAAAGCAGAAGCCATTAATCTCGGCTATTCCCTATGGCCGTGGAAGCATTAATCTTGGCTATTCCCCATGGCTGTGGAAGCATTAATCTCAGCTAATAGCATTAATCTCAGCTATTCCCCATGGCTGTGGAAGGGCTCCAGAGACTCCTACTTTGTCCTTCCTGTGGAAATAGCCCTTACTTCACGGGTCAGAAGCCAGGGTAGGGAGTCTGCCAGTTGAGGTTATTTATTCCAATAGTTTAGTCAGGAACTGAGAAAATAACTCTGGGATGGTGTAAGTGCCCTACTGGGTCTACCATGACACAGACTCAGGTAGAAATCCATTTATCACCTGGCCTTCAAAAGCCTCATGTTAACCCATGGATAAAGGGTTCTGGGTCCCCAGGATTGATGTTATACCAGATCCAGTGTCAATAATCCTTGAAAGGTCTGGGTCATTCAGTTACCTTGATCAATACATAGTTACCCTGGTAAATGGCCACAGACCCCTTTAGGGGAGCTGGAAGAAGACTCACAACGCATTACTGTGCTGTTATTGCGGCACCTTCCCTCCAGAGTACCTGGCCTTCCCATTGCTAAAAACTCCATGTCCGTGAACTGAATCAGGGATGGAAAGAAGTGAGGAGCCATGATCCTCCATCATAGCTCAAATCAGGTCTCTATTTGCCAGTCCTGGAGTTTGGGGATATTAAATAATTAGGTGAAGAGGAACAAGAAGGAAAAAGGCAGACATCTCCCTTGTTCACTGGGTGAGGTTGAAGTCTTCTTTTGGTCTACTGTTGCAGCTTCTCTGGCCAGTCCTCAAGCCCCTTGTGGGCAGGCATCAAATGCTGGGCGTCTGCTCTGTACGTGAGCTCTTGGTGGACCCTTTGGAGACCCTGCACTGCTCATTTCCCTGACCCTGGAGATTTGACTTGGGCTCGCCTCATTTCTCCACCACCCCTCAGCCCCCACTTGATGTCATCAACTCTGGGCTCCAGCTGCCGGGACCCCTTGGTGGGCTGCAGTCCTCCTGTGTGGTGTCACTGACCACTGAAGACCAGCTCCCTCACCCTTCTGCTTTGTCCACCCAGCTATGGGGAAACGCCTGGATTGCTACCATACCAAGTGGTGGGAGGAGGCTGCTTTACTGCCCCTTCCCCCCACAACGCACACACCTTACCTTATCATTTTTCTCCATGTCTCCTTTCCTTTGCTCAGGTCAGCTAAGCAGACATCCAGCCAGGACAGGAAACGGCCATCTTCTCTGCTTCTGTCTCTACAAGGGATCCTCTTGAAGTACCCCTCCTCCTTTCCTCTCCCACAAGGGTGTGAAGAGAGGGAATGGCTTCTTCTTGTGTACACCACACTCCGCACAGGCTAACATTGTGGGGATGGGGGTGGGGGGGTGGTACCCTGCAGTATGCCCTTTATAGAGGCTGTGGACTCTAAATTCAAAATGTGTGGCCAGGCACAGTGGCTCACACCTGTAATCCCAACACTTTGGGAAGCCAAGGCAGGTGGATCACTTAAGGCCAGGAGTTCAAGACCAGCCTGGCCAACATGGTGAAACCCCGTCTCTACTAAAAAAAAAAATACAAAAAAAAAAAATTAGCTGGGCATGGTGGTATGCGCCTGTAGTCCCAGTTACTTGGGAGGCTGAGGGAGAAGAATTGCCTGAACCTGGCAGGCAGAGGTTGCAATGAGCCAAGATTGCACCACTGCACTCCAGCCTGGGTGGCAGAGCGAGACTCCATCTAAAAAAAAAAAAAAAAAAATTAGCCTGGTCTGTTGGTGAGTTCCTGTAATCCCAGCTACTTGGGAGGCCGAGGCACGAGAATTGCTTGAACCCAGGAGGCTGAGGTTGCTGTGAGCTGAGAGATGCCACTGCAGTCCAGCCTGGGTGATGGAGTGAGACTCTGTCTCAAAAAAAAAAAAGAAAAAAAAAAATTAGAATGTGTGTACTTAGCATCTGCTATTCTAAGCATTGACTTTAACTATAATTCCGACAGCAGGACGTGTCCTATTAGACATCCTGATGAACATGGGGAAAGTAAACTCTTCTGGGTTTTCTCAGAGGGAATAGGTGGGTTTCACATAAATCCATTTCTATCTTCTAAGTTCTATGCATTTCTTCCCTACATCCAAGGGATTTCTGGCTTCTCAACTCCATTTAGTGGGAATCAATGTGGAGCCTATGTTTCAGCTAACCAAACAGAATTAAAATCACTCCTAGCAACTTAGAACAGAACATTCAATGTAGAATTTCTAGCAAATGTCCCTAAATCTTCAAATCCAGGTACTTCAATACTCTATTGTTCTCTCCTTGGTTTTATTTTTTTTAATAATCCATTCCTACATGAATTTTCCAGATCTTTAATGATTCAAATTAATAATGTCATACAACACTTGTGGTGTGTATGTTTTCTTCTCCAGAGTTTAACTAGGTAATTCACCACCACCACCACTGTCCCATGCTGGAATGTCTCTAATTATTTTTTCCAGTATGGAGATAAAAAGGGTAGTGGCTCCTCCCCTTGCAAGGTAGCTCCATAAGGTGGGTTCATATAAAGTTTCCAAGCAAGGCAGGGATAAGCCTCACTGGACGGAAGGGGAGGAGCTACTGCTTTTGGCAAGACAGGCTCAGCCTGGGTGAGAAGCTCAAGGTACTACGAGCCCAATCAAATCTTCCCATATATCCTTGTTGCAACTGTTGTGGTCCCCCTCTTTTCTGATCAATCATTTCTATCTTTCACATTAGAAATGTGGAGAAGCTGTGATTTTTTACTAGATTTATAATTTGACCACCTGTAGGATCAAACTTTGTGACTGGTTTTGACTATCTCAGTCCTGCAACTATGAGCCATAAGACATCATTCTGAACTGAGTGTGGTGGCATATGCCTGTAATCCTAGCTACTTGAGAGGCGGGAGGATGCTTGAGGCCAGGAGTTCAAGACCAGCCTGAGCAACATAATTGTTACGGGATCTCTGGGGTGTCGATTTTTTTGGCTGGAAACCTCTGTGGCCACAGCACTTTTGTCTAAGTTCTTGTCCTGCATCCAGGAAGAATGAGTACGCAGACAAGTGAAGGGTGAAAAAGGAGAAGAGTTTTATTTAGTGTTAGAACAGCTCAGAGGAATAGGTAGCTCCTCTCTGTAGGCAAGTCCTCCCAACGAGTGTTCACGCTCAGCAGAGAGGAGGCCCTGGAGAGGGTGGCTCCTCTCTGCAGGCAAGTCATTTGGATATCTCTGCAGGTATCTGAAGCTCTCAGCAGACAGGGTAGTTCCTCCCTGCCAGTCGCCCATCCCATCCTATCCCATGCCATCCCATCCCATATCCGTCTCTCTGTCCATCCCAGTCTCTCTGCCCTTTTCGTCTTCTGGCCATCCTCTGCCCTGCTCTGGCTGAGCCCAGGGTTTTTATGGACCTCAGCGGGGAGGAAGTGCGTCCATGCTGATAGGTCCAGGGGTGGCCAATGGCAGCCCAGAAGAGGCACCACGAGTCCCCATTCCAGTCAGCAGGACTGGCAGCCCAGCCCCCAGCCTTCAGGCCCTCCCTGACCCAAAGGTGGGGCCTTACTGGGGACTCCCCCTCTTCCCCGCCCAGGAATCAATCTGCCTTCTGCTGCCATTCATAGCCCCCAGGCTCGGCCCCAACCCCGGCTCCAAGATCAGAGCAGGTGCCGGGAGTGGAGAGGGGCCAGGCAGCAGGAGAAGACACCCCGGAACCTGCAGGGACAGAGGTTCCTCCTGGGGCCCCGAGGGTGCAGGCTGCAGAGACACCCGGCTCCTGAGCCTGGGAGGGCGTGGCAGCCGCACCAGGGAAGGCAGATCCTGCCTGCTCCTGGCCCTCCCGGAAGGGCACAGGGAGGCTCCCATTCACAGCTGCAGTTTGGGCGCCTGCAGCCCCACCCAGGAGGCTGGGGTTCCTGCCCGCTCCATACAGCAGGAGGCGTGGGTCTGTAGCTGCGGGTTGGGCGGCTACAGCAGCACCCAGGGAGCTCGCGTCCCAACTCAGAAGGGGCGGGGCTCCCACTGGCTCCATGGAGTATGCGGCCCCAGCTGCGCCTCCCTGCTGCAGCCAGCGTGATGGCAACAGCCACTGCCATCATAATAAGACCTTGTTTCTAAAAATAAATAAATATGAACCCCATTCAGTAGGTCTTAGAAAGTCCCTGGGTTTCTGCCTATGCCTTGGGCTGAAATTCATGAGTTTGAGTTTTTCATTTTCTCCTTAAGCTTCCCAGTGCTGGAAGAAGCAACGCTACTGCCAACCCCCCATCTCCCATCTCCCACTTAGTCCTTTAACTCCTCTTCTCTTGTCACATTTTCAGGTAGTAGCTTGGGCTCTCCTGAAAGAAAGCTCGAGACACAGATTTGGCTGCAGGTCGTTTATCTGGGCTGTCTGTCAAAAAGCAGACGAGGGAGCAGTGGGAGGGAGACAGGAAAGGATGGAAAATTACTATAACAAAGGGAGCATGACTGAGCTCCTCAATGTGTGGGCTCATTCCCACTGGGGGTCTTCTGAAGCACGTTGCAGAAGGCACCTCAGAATTGTCCTGGGATGGAAAGGAATCGGAACATTTATCCACCAGCTCCCATCCCACTTGGGTTGAGGTTTGCCCTCAGGGATGGTAAGTTTCCCCCCACTCAGGGGCTAGCTGCCCTGATGGCCTCTGAGGGGTCTTTCCTGGCTTTGGAGAAAGGCTTGAGGCAAGAAAGCAGAAAGAGAAACTGGCACACGCTTGAACAAGATCGTCACAGCTGCACTGAAATCAGGAGAGAACAAGGGGGACATGGCGCAGATACCAAGACCATCTGCTATGGGACCTCCATATCCTTGCCTGAAGTGGCTTTTTCAGTCTGGGACCACTGGGTAACTTTAGGGGCTGTTTCGTCACTTGGGCCATAGGCTGCTAGAGTTCCCTGCTGGGTTTTCACTGCATTCAGCTCCAACTAGGCAGATAGCAAGCCCTGACACAACTTACTTCTCTGAGGGTCTGTTTCCTGCCACCCCTTAAGACACCAATTTTTATATTTGTTCAGTTTCCTGATTGCAAACATCAGGACTGGCTTAGACTGATGTAATCTGAAAAGGGGGTTTATTGAAAAAGCACTGGGTAGCTCACAGAGTGGCTGAGATAACTAGAGTACCATGCTCAAATAACAGGCAGGAAAGGGGGCAGCCTGACCTCTGGCAAGGCAGCCCTCCACTCAGAACGTACTGAGGGTCTTTCAGATACTGGCCTGGAGCTGTTCTACTGAGATCTCAGTTGAACACATCCAGGAAGAGTAGATCAATCAAACAAACCATTGAGTAAGAGAACAGAGAGTGTTACTGGTCTGGAGACCCCAGGGAAGGAGGGTGCCTGCTGAACAGGTGGGGAGAGGAGGCACTGGAAACCGGAATTCCAGGCTGAGGTCAGCAGCAGGCCCTCTTCACTCACACCCAGGCACTCTTACCACTGCAGGAATTAGAGAGGGCTCCTCTTCCTTCTTGGACCTAAGGACATAGGCTTTTACTTCCCATCTTCTTATATACTTTTATTCTAAAAAAGGTTATTAGAATTAATAAGCTCAGTCATTCAGACTGTAAATCTACTTTGCTATGGGGAAAGAAAATCTTTAAAATGTGTACACATTAAATCCTGTGGAGTAATTTATAGGTACACAGCCTCATCATTGAATCCAGCTTGGCAACCACTTAAGTCTGATTTTTGCCATTAGCTTGGCAACCACTTAAGTCTGATTTTCGCCATTAGCTTGGCAACCACTTAAGTCTGATTTTCGCCATTAGCTTATAATGACTCCACTCTCCCTGAAGCCCCTCCTTCCCCACTAGAGGCACTTGAGTCTCATCTGCATGCACAGTCCTATCTCAATCTCAGATAATTCAGGCCTCAGTCATAGCGAGTTTAAGGAGCCCTACCTAGTCCAGGAGGTCAGTCACCCAGACCTGCTCTGACCACATGACCCAGTTCTAAGGCCTTGTTTGTGTCCAAGTTCTCACCAAACACCCCTACCTGGGCCTGAATATCTGCCTAGGAAACCTGGTAAGAACCTAGTTCCTCCAAGGCTGTGGCCCAGCCTTACTCTCATTCATCTTCCCAGGATTCTTAATCCCATCATTCATCCCAGAAATCTTGCCCAGGGCCCAGCCCGCTGTCAGTTCCCCTGCATGCTGACCACCTGCCTGTTTGGCTCTCCCTTGGTGCCTGCTACAGCACCTCACCATCTCACCCACACACAATGGTCAAGCACCGCTGGGACCCTCTCTTTTTCCCTTTGATAGGCCACCTATGCCCCCACACACATTCAGAGTACACGCCCTGGCTGGAATGTCTCCCACCATCCATAGCAGTGCCTGCCTACCCTCCCCCAGTAAGTGGGACTGGTTTCTCTATTCTGATCTCTCCTCCTTGGCCCCCTTTCACTGTTTACTGAGTTCTAGACTCCCATTTATTATAACAAAACTTGTTCTTTTCCTTGAGCCTGCCTGCTTATAATTCATGCCAGCCCTAGATAATGGTTCTTTTGTGCTGGTCTGCAGGAATGAACAATTCATTGATTTCAGGTAAAAAGCTGCTCTCTCTACAAGAGAATGGCTTCAATTGGGTTGTTTATTCACATGAAAAAATAGCCTTTCTCTTATCTGTATGCTATTACATTTTATTTATTCACTTAATTCATATTTATTGAGCAACTACTATATAAATCAGCTACTGTGTTAAGTGCTAAGAATATAGACGTAATTCAGGCATGGTTCTTACCATCAAAGAGCTTATAGTCTAGAAGAATGAAATGTCTTATATCAAAAGAAGTACAAAACATCATGCTAAGTGCTATTTTATTTGAAGCATAAGTAGAATAAGATTGATTTTTAAAATTATTTTTAGTACTAGGGGATATTTGACTAGACTGATGAGCCCAGGAAAGACTGGCACCCGGTGAGAGGAAGGCTTGAAAATGTTATAGGTCCCCACCTCCTAAGCAGCACCCAGAGGTGGGGGAAGGGAGCAGCTACCAGATGAGGGCAGGAAGGAGAGGAAAGAAGCTGAGGAGCCTCCAGAAGTGGATGGAAGTGAGACTATGAGCTAAATTTAAAAATAATTAAGCCCCAGGTATGTCAATCGTCATTGCTCAGCAAATGAACACTCTAACAGATAATTATTCTAGGTATCAGAAATGCATTTCATATGATCAGAAACCAAACCCAAGGAGAGAGTCCATGGAGTTAAGGAAAGATTAGTTGCTTCTCCAATGTCTTTAGAAGGCGTACAGGATGGAGTTAAGTTGCTGGAGCAGGTCAAGTGCTAAGAATCATCTTATGTGATGCAGACCAGAAAAATTAACAACAAACAATACGTAAAAACTAGGCTTCATTAAAAACAAAACCAAAGCAAAAAATCCATCCATTTGTTCTTTCTTTTAGAATCATTTAAACATTTTTTTAAATGAGGTAAAATTTATATAACATAAAATTAACCATTTTTCAGTGAACAATTGAGTGTCATTTAATACATTGACAACATTGTGCAACCACCATCTTCAGCCAGTTCCAGAACATTTTCATCATCCCCAAAGGGTCTCCATTAAGCAGTTACTCCACAGTTCTGGGCAACCACCAATCTTCTTTCCATCTGTATGGGTTTCACTATTCTGGATATTTCATACAAATGGAACCATGCAACATGTGACTTTTTGTCTGGCTTCTTTCACTTAGCATAATCATCCACATTGTAGTATGTATCAATACTTAATTCCTTTCTATGGCTGAATAATATTCCATTGTATATCTGTACCACAGTTTGTTTATCCATTCATTGCATCGATAAGGATTTGGCTAGGGTGAATAGTGCTACTATGAACATGTGTGTTCATGTATTTGTTTGAGTACTGTTTTAAATTCTTTTGTGTATAAGCTTAGAAGTAGGATTGTAGGATTATGTGATAATCCTATGTTTAACTTTTTGAGGAACCAGCCACTTATTCGTAACCAGGACATTGCTTTAGACCTGCCAAAAAATTGTAGAGAAAAAGGAAAATAGGACTTCTAGAAGCCCATTCATGGGAGGTGGAGGTATGTACTGCTGACTGGTTGTAAAACCCAATTCTTCATCTTCCTGAACACACAGCTAGGTTACATTTCCCAGCATCTCCTGCAGCTGGAGGTTGGGGGCATGTGTCTCCATTCCTGCCAGTAGAATATGAGCACAAGTCATGTGTGGTAATTTTAGGCTTGGCCCATGAAAACCACGTGCAGGCAATCCTCCATCCCCTCTCCTCTTCTGCAGGCTCCTTGTGGAGAAACCACACAATGAAGATGGAGAAGCCACCAGATGAAAAGAGCCTAGGGTTCAGAATTACCACTTGGAGGAGACCTGCCACCAGTTGGTACCATTGGTTTTAGGCTGTAAGTGAGTGAAAAAGCAACTGTTCTTGTCTGGAACCATGAGCGTTGATGAGAACTCCATCACAGCTGCTAGCATTACTTGACACTTACTCTAAAGGCAAAAGAGAAGGCCACACCTTGCTCAGAAAGACCTGATGTGTGGAGCTAGTGCAAGGGGTCAAAGACTGAGGAGAGGCCAGAAGGCCAAAGCAGCTTGAGACTGGAGTGATTTGAGCCCATGGTCTTTCTGGGTCACACCAAGAAAAAGATCCAGAGCCTGGCCTCTAGAAAGCTTAAACATTCTACCAGGCCAGTATCAGGGCCAGCCTGAGCTATGACTGGCTGTAGTGTCCTTAGCATAAGGAAAGAAATGAGGCCTCTGCACCTAGTAAATTGTTTCAATCAGGAAAATTGTGAGTTAAAAAAAAAAATGACTAGACTAAATAGACTTGAGCTTCCTTAGACTCAGAAATCTGTTGATGCTCCTCTTTTTTTATGCTTTGTTGCTTTCTTTGATAATTTCCCATCTGTCTTCTTAAGTTTCTTTAGAAATTTCCATCTGAAAACTCCAAATCAGGCTGAGTCTGATAGGGGATGGCAGAGTCAGGGCAAACTCAGGCCAGCTCTGCAGGGGGAGAAGAGCACCCCTAGAGGCTAGGTGAGGTAGTGCAGGGACTGGTGTTTCTCAATCTGTATCTTGTCTTTGGGACAGGCAATTTTTCCACCTGCAATACCAAGAGCTTCAGGCTTCTTAGCATCCCTGGCCCTGCCCCCTACATGGCAGTAGAGGCCCAGTTGTGACAGCCACAACTCTCCTAGGCATTTCCAAACACTCCTAGGCAGGGCCAGTACCTTAAACCCAGGTTGAGAACCAGTGAATGGAAGATGGGAAGACTAGATAAAAATAGAAAATTTAGAAATCTAAAGACCATAAGGGACTCCTGAAATGTGCCCTACCTTCCTCAAAGCAGGGCTGTTCTGTAGCACCCTCATAAAGACTGTCTCCTCTTTTTATTTTTGTTTTGTTTTGTTGGTTGGGTTTTGTTTTGTTTTTGTCTTTTGTTTTGAAAGAGGGTCTTGCTCTGTCACCCAGGCTGGAGTGCAGTGGCGTGATCATAGCTCACTGTAACCACAATCTCCTAGGCTCAAGCAATCCTTCTGCCTCAGCCTCCTGAGTAGCCGGGACCACAGGCGTGCCCCACCATGCCTGGCTATTTTTAATTTTTTGTTTGTTTGTTTGTTTTTGTTTTTGTAGAGACAGGGTCCCCCTATGTTGCTCAGGCTAGTCTCAAACTCCTGGGCTCAGGTGATTCGCCCACTTCAGCATCCCAAAGGGCTGGGATTACAGTCATGAGCCACTGCATATGGCCTCTCTCTCTCTTTCTCTTAAGTTTCTCTCTAGACCACTCCATCCTCCTTGTTGTTCACTCAGTTAACAACCAGTTACTCCCTGTCCCCAGTGTGGATCAAAATTTTCTGATTTTCAGCCAGGTGCAGTGGCTCACGCCTGTAATCCCAGCATTTTGGGAGGCTGAGGTGGGCAGATGGCTTGAGCTCAGGAGTTTGAGACCAACCTGGGCAACATAGTGAGACTTCATCTCTACAAAAAATACAAAAATTAGCCAGGCCTGATGGCACACGCCTGTAGTCCTTGCTACTTGGGAGGCTGAGGTGGGAGGATCACCTGAGTCCAGCGAGGTCGAGTCTGTAGTGAGCCGTGATTGTGTCACTGCACACCAGCCTGGGTGACAGAGTGAAACCCGTCTCAAAAACAAAAAATTGTGATTTTTATTTTCTCAAAAATGTGCTTTTTCCCCAGCCTTAGACTAAGCTTTTTAAACCCACGGCCGCAGGCCGCATGTGACCCCGGATGGCTTTGAATGCAGCCCAAGTCAAATTTGTAAACTTTCTTAAAACATAATGAGTTTTTTTTTTTGCAATTTTTTTTTAGCTAATCAGCTATTGTTAATGTTGGTGTATTTTATGTGTAGCCCAAGACAATTCTTCTTCTTCCAATGTGGCCCAGGGAAGTCAAAAGATTGGACACCTCTGCCTTAGACCTTCCTGGTGTCCTGCTGGCCTGTTATCAGCTGTTGGTCCATCACAGGATCCAATATGTGTCCACAGCCCACCTTATTTCATCTTCAGAGCAATAGTTGGGGTGGTGATCAAGGTCACCAAGGCCCTCAGGGTTAGGAGAACAGCACTGGAGAAGACTGGGGGCAAGAGGAATCCCAGAGCACTGGAGAGATAGGGACAGACAGGGTGGCTACAGGCTCCATACTGGGGTGCACTGGGACAGATGTAAGAGAGTCAGACTGGAGGCAAATGATAATGGTCTCGCTCCTCACCTGGACAACGGGTAGGAGGAGAATGCCCAGTGCTTTTTGGTGGAGCTTAGAGGTAGGGGCATCTCATGATGGTGATACCCCAGGAGATCTGGATCCCTGGGGAATAGAGGGGAGGAACTGAGCTCAAAAGTCAATGCCAGATGAAAGGAGAGGAGAGCATCTTCTTGCCTGTAATTCTTCTGAGAGTCACCTAGTTAGGATCAGATGCCTGACTATAACATGTCACTATCAGACGTGACAATGAATATGAGGAGTTACTCTGGGAAGAGACCCTTGAGAGCTGGCTAAGAGGGGAGCACAATAATTTATCTCAGGGTGGCTGAGTCAGGGTGCCCACCAACACACTGAAAACCCTCCAATGAATCACACTCACTGCATTTACTGATTAATTCAATCAGTCAATTGGTTTGACTATCTCCCCATTACCATTTTCTCTTAATTATAATATGCATCTCCCCTCTTCCTCGCACACATTTTAACATTTCTGAAATGGGGATATGTCTTAAAATAGACCTGCATGTTTATTGTAAAGTTTCTTTTTGAGGCAGCTGTTAAATCAGTGATGCATCTTATAATCAATGGTATATTAGAATGAAGAAAATAGGGTAATTACCAGAATTGATTTCCCGTTTTGATGTATTATAGATAAGATTATTTATTGGGTACCCAGAAACACCCGAGCTTCCTCACACATGCACATCTGTTTGTAGGCAGCTTCAGCAGGCCCTGCATATGCTCACATGTGTGGTCACCACCTTTGGGATTTGGATGCCATCAGACCGTCAGGGAGCCCAGAGAAATGCACAATGTGCTAAATCCCACCCTCTCTTTGTAAATGTCATGAAGAAATTGCTCTTGGCCCACTCTACTGCTGACTGTGCTGCTGATTGGTCTCAGTGAGGGGCAATGACGCTGTACCTGGCAGGAGACGAGGCCTGGCCAATGAGATTCAGGCAGGCAGATTTAATGATTGCTGCCAACATAGAAGCATCCCTGGAGCTGGGCACTCCCCATCTGGCACAGCAGCCCTGGTCCCCTCAGGGGCTCAGCCACTGCAGAACAACACAAACTGCTTACCCGTCTGCTCTCACTTCAGGACCTGGCTTGGTTATCTTCCTGTGATGGCTAATTTTACGTGTCAGCTAGACTTAGGGATACCCAGATAGCTGGCAAAACATTATTTCTGAGTGTGTCTCTGAGGGCATTTCCAGAAGAGATTAGCATTTGAATCAGTGGACTGAGTAAAAACCATTGTCCTCACCAATGTAGGCAGGCACCGTCCAATCCACTGAAGGCCCAGATGGAACAAAAAGGTAGAGAAAGAGCAAGTTTACACTTTCTTCTTGAGCTGGAACATCCATCCTCTTTTTCCCTCAGACACTGGAGCTCCAGTTCTCAGGCTTTCATACTCAGACTGAATTATATCACTGCTTTCCTGGTTCTCCAAGCTTACAGATAGCATATCTCGAGACTTCTCGAGTGAGCCAATTCCCTGAATAAATTTCCTGTGATATATCTACATATCCTACTGGTTCTACTTCTCTGGAGAACTTTGACTGATTTATTTCCCATCCTTCTTCCTAGAAGAAAGGATGGATGTGGGTGACGAAGTGATCTAGGCTTGTCTTGGGAAGGAGAGAGAGAATGATGGATGATCATGAAACCCCATCCGTTAGGCTAAAGAGGTGGAGAACGTGAGCAGGTGATCAGATGAGGCAGCAAGACCTCTGTGGGGAGATTCCATCAGAACCTTTCCATCCGAGGGGGTTCCCTGCCCCAGAGCCTGGACTTGGAAGGAGAAGTGGTACCCAGGGGATGAAGGCTCCTCTTCTCTCTTTGAGCCTCTAAGATTCGCAAGGCATGTAGGCTCGGCTATGTTTGAAAAAGAAAGTCTTTCCTGCCACCATTCTACTGTGGTTCCTCTGCCCAGGACACCACCCCAATCCAAATTTTATGACCGTGGAAATTTCTGGGACAGAGCGTTTTGCTTCTGACTGGCTCCCCTTTGACTGGTGGCTTTTGTGCTATGGAACGGGAGGGAGTGAGATGGGTGAGGAAGAAGCCTTGATGGTGATCCAGACCTGTGTGTTCTGGCTCCTTTCTTCCAGGCCAGGGAAGAGGGAAACGGACCAAGTGGAGCAAGTGCTGCAGCTGCTGGCAGAGGACCAGTCGCCCCACTGAAGGACTGTCACCACCCCTACTGCACAAAAGCTGTAGAGAAGCCCCAAGGAGATTGATCAGCCACCGTCTCTGATTTGTAATTTCACTTAATGCTATTAAGGGGGCAGTTTGGGCCATTTGCTGGAGAGGACTGGAAAAGTTCCAGAATCCTTGGCTAATGAATCCCAAGTATTAATCCCATTAGTCTTCCACTGTCTGCTGCTTCTGACTAGGTTTCCCGCTGCACCCCCTCCCAGTCTTCCTCCCCATGGAGAAAGCTCTCTGACCCCCACGGCTCATGGTGTGTTCCAGTAAGTCAGGGCTGGCCTTGCTCGCCAGGCTAGTTTTACCAGAAATTAAACAAGAAGCACGGGCTGTCATCCATGCAGGGCGACTGGGGTGACTGCTTCAAGAGAATCATGGAGTCTCAGTTTGAGGAGCACCAAGAGATCATGGAATTCTTTTTTCTCATAGCAGTGCTTAACAGCCTTTAAAGGGCACACAAACAAAATCACCTTCTGCAGAAGGTCTAGGCTAGGGTCCAAGGTATCTGCATTTCTAACAGACATACTTAACATTTTTATGCAGGTGGTCTGTGAACCATACCTTGTGAAATGACATTCTAGTTCTGCTATTTACCTGCTGTGTGATTTGGGGCACATAACATCCTATGAATGACTGAGGCCCCTACTGCTGGTTCTTACATGTTCTGGGCCCTCTGGTTTCTGGCAGGAGGAAAAGCTCCATGGTAATCACTCCACATCCTTCTCCAAATCCTGTGATCTGGGGCACGCATAGATGAGTCTTTTACTTCATTTGTGAAATAGGAAAAACAACGGATTGGGGACATCTGCTTCTGGAACAATGAAATAGACATGCTTTTCCCTATACCTCCTGCTCGGTACATCTAAACACCCTGGACATTACACATGACACTAACCCAAGGAGACTCTGAAAGGTGGAGGGTAACAGCAAAACTGGCAAGGGACCTTGTGACCTGAGGAATGACATGATGGTGAGGTCCTCAGATTTTCTTTTTGCCTCATGCATTTCATCAGCAAATAGTAAGAAAACATTTGGACAAATCATCCCTCTCCCCATAGTAAAAGCAACAAGGAAAAAGAAAAAAACATGCAATGAAAAAAGCAAAAGGAAATTTTAACAATTTTTAATATCTTTAGAAATGTAGGAAAATATGCAGCATCCATGAAACAAAAATAGGATTCTATAAAAGAAAACATTCAGAGAATAAGAAAGAGTTCTTGGAATTAAATATATATATGGCAGGAATTTCAAAATTTAAAAGCGAGTTGAAAAATAAAGCTGAGGAAGTCTCCCAAGACTCAGAATAAAAAGACAACAGATGCAGGGATGAGTGGGGACTGGGGACAGGAGACAGAGAAGAGTTAAGAAAATTAGAGGATTAATTTTGAGTAATAGGAGTTCAGGAAGGAGAGAATAGCAAAATGGGGGAAGACATTAGCAAAGAAATAATAGTTAAATTTTTTTCCAGATCTAAAGGGATATGAATTGCCACGTTGACAGTTTTCATATTGACAGATTTTCTAGTACATGAATAAAAAAGACAAACAACAGAGAACATCTTTGAGAAACTTCCAGAAACCAGAGATAAATGGAAGACTCTAAATGGTTCCAGAGAGAAAACAAAACAAAACAACAACAACAAAGTTTACATAGAAAGGATGAGGAAAAATACTAGAAGACAATGGAGCGATGCCTTCATAATTCTAAAGCAGGGGTTGGCCAGTTGTGGCCTGAGAGCCAAATCCAGACCGCAGATTGATTTTCTATGGCTCCTGAGCTAAGAATGGTTTTTCAATTTTTAAGAGTTATAGAAAGAAAAACATAAACAAAACCAAAGAAGAATATGTTACAGAGATCATGTGTGGTCCCCAAAATCTAAAATATTTGTTACCATTTTTTTTTAACAGAAAAACTTTGCCAGCCTATATTCTAAGGGAAAATCCTTTTCAAATTAAACAGTAAACAAGTGTAAGAATATGTAAAGCACACTTCCAAACTCATTCTATGAGGCCAATATTGCCCTGATACCAAAATCAAAGACATCACAAAAAAAAAGAAAACTACAAACCAATATCCCTTATGATTATTAATGCAAACATACTTAACAAAGTACTAGCAAGCCAATTTTTAGCAATATATGTAAGGATTATACACTGTGACCAAATGAGATTTAGTATGTTGATTTAGCATACTAAAATCAACCAATGTAATACATCATATTAATAGAATCAAAGATAAAAACCATATGATCATCTCAATAGACAAAGAAAAAGCATTTGACAAATCCAACAGCCTTTTATAATTAGAATACTCAACCACCTAGGAAAAGAAGGGAAGTTCTTTAATGTGATAAGGGACATCTCTGGAAAACCCACAGCTAATGTCATACTTAATGTCACAAGACTGGATGTTTTCTCCCTAAGATCAGGAACAAAACAAGGATATCTGCTCTCATCAATTCTTTTCAACATTATACTGGAGGTTCTTCCTGGTCAACAGGTTAAGAAAAAGAAATTGAAGTAATCTATCTTGGAAAAAAAAGAGATAAAATTATATTTGCAGATGACATCATCTTGTATATAGAAAATCTTAAGAAATACACTAAAAAATATTGGAACTAATAAATGTGTTCAGCAATGCATCAGGATGCAAGATCAATATACAAAAAATCAATTATATTTTGAAATACTGATAATTAAAAATCTAAAACTTAAGATGTCAACAAAATAATCACCTTTATTATCACAGCAAAAGGAAGAAGATGCCTAGAAATAAATTTAACAAAATAAGTGCAAGATGTGTACATTGAAAACAACAAACCATTTTTGAAAGAAATTAAATATCTAAATAAATGGAAAGACATCCCATATTCATGGATTGGAATACTTAACATTGTCAACGTGATAATACTCCCCAAACTGATCTACAGATCCAGTGCAATCACTATCAAAATCCCAGATTCCTTTTTCATAAATTCACAAGCTGATTCCAAAATTCATATGGAAATAAAAGGGACCTAGAATACCTCAAACAATATTTAAAAAGAACAACCAAGTTGGAGGACTCATACATCCCTATTCAAAACCTATTATAAAGCTACAATAATCAAGACAATGTGGTACTGGCATAAGGATCGACATGTAGATCAAATGAATAAAACTGAGATTTCAGAGATAAACCTTTAAATTTATGTTTAATTGATTTTCAAAAAAGTGTTAAGACAATTCAATGGGGGAAAGAGGTTTTTTTTCCACCAAAATAGGGAAAACTAGATATCCATATGCAAAATAATAAAGTTAAACCTCTATCTCATATCATATACAAAAATAACTCAACATGAATCACATACCCAAATATAAGAGCTAAAACTATAAATCAGGCCAGGCATGGTGGCTCATGCTTGTAATTCCAGCACTTCGGGAAGCCAAGGTGGGCAGATCATATGAGGTCAGGAGTTCGAGACCAGCCTGGCCAACATGGTGAAACCCCATCTCTACTAAAAATACAAAAATTAGCCAAGCATGGTGGCACACACCTGTAATCCCTACTTTGGAGGCTGAGGTATGAGAATCACTTAAACCCAGGAGGCAGAGGTTGCAGTGAGCCAAGATCACACCGTTGCACTCCAGCCTGGGTGACAGAGCAAGACTCTGTCTCTAAATAAATAAATAAAACTATAAATTTTCTAGAAAAAAATAGGAATATATCTTTGTGATCTTTGGTTATGCAATGGCTTCTTAGATATAACATCCAACATGAGCAACAGAAGAAAAATAGAAAAATTGGACTTTATCCAATTTAAAAACTTTTGTGTGTCAAAGGAGACTATCAAGAAAGTGAAAAGACAATTTATAGAATGAGAAAGTATTGTAAATCATATGTATCCAGAATATATAAGGAACTCTTACAATTAAATGATAAAACACAAGTAACTAAATTTAAAGATTGGCAAAAAAGTTGAATGGACATTTCTCCAAAGAGAATATACAAATGGCCAGTAAATACATGAAAAGATGTTCAGCTTCATTAGGCATTAGGAAAATGCAAATCAAAACCATAATGGGATACCACTCTATACTCACTAGGATCACTAAAATAGAACAGATAGAGAATGAAATGTTTTGGTAAAGAGGTAAAGAAATTGGAACCCTCATACATTGCTGGTGGGAATGTAAAATGGTGCAACCACTTTGGAAAATAGTTTGGCAGTTCTTCAAAATGCAAAACATAGAGTTAGAATATAAACTAGCAATTCTACTCCTGGATGTATACCCAAGAGAAGTGAAAATATATGTCTACACAAAAACTTGTACATGAAAGTTCATAGCAGAATTATTCAAAATAGCCAAAAGGTGGAAACAAACAAAATATCCATTAATTAATGACTGGACAAACAAAATGTGGTATGTCCATACACTAGAATATTATGCAGCAATAAAAAAGAATGAATACTGGCACATGCTCCGACTTAGATAAACCTTGAAAAAAATATGCTAACTGAAATAAGTCAATCACAAAAGACCATGTATTGTATGATTCCACTTATGTGAAAAGTTCAGAATCAGCAAACCAACAGAGTCAGAAGGTTGATTAGTGACTACCTGAGGTTGGAGCAGTAGGTTGAGGGAAAATAAGTGAGCAGAAATGGTGGAGGACTGCTAATGTGTACAGAATTTATTTTGGGGATGTCAAAAATGTTCTAAAATTAAATTGTGATGGTTGCATAACTGTGTGAATATACTAAAAACCACTGAATTATACACTTTAAATGGGCGAATTTTATGGTATGCAAAATATATTTCAAAAAAGCTATTAAAATACATAAAAACATTTTCAGATATGCAAGATTTCAAAAAATTAACCTCCCACTTATCTTTTCACAATAAGCTACTTGCAGATGTATTCTGCCAAAAGAAGTGAATAAACCAAGCAGGGGGGGAAACACAGAATCTAGAAAACAGGAGTTTTAACACAGAAAAGAGGCAAAGGGAATTTCCAGATTAATGGTGCAGAAAAGTTCCCAATGATAGTTGTGTAGCAAGCTTAGAGACTTACAAGTAACAGAAGGACAAAATGCACTAGGAGGAAATCCCCGAGTAGAAAAAGAAAAAAGAAACAAACAGACTACCTAATGTTTGCACATATTGCAATGATTTTTATTGTTCTTTCAGAAATTCTGAGAATGAATTCGTGATAGGTACCTGGAAAACTAAGAAACAAACAAACAATGAGGCAACTATTAAATCCAGGTAAAACATAAAGTAGTTTTATTGTATCTTCTAGATCAGCAGTGAATTGCTGTGATAGGTACCTGGAAAACTAAGAAACAAACAAACAATGAGGCAACTATTAAATCCAGGTAAAACATAAAGTAGTTTTATTGTATTCCCTAGATCAGCAGTGAATTGCATTTCCATGATCATAACATCATAAACATCATAAAATCAATGCTCAAAATTAATAAGCATTGATTTTACCCATAAGGTAACAATAGTATATTGAGAGGATGGGGAGGAGGAATAGTGTGAATATATTAGGCGGCCAGAGAGTGGGAAAGGATGGTGTGAGGGAACACAATCCTCATCTTTCATACAGGAGCCAAAAAACTAAACCTAAAAAACAAAACAAAAAAAAGAAATAGTAGCATAATCTGCTGTTTACAAATAAAGAGAGAAAAACAGAAGAAACAGAAAAGAGTTGAAAGCATTTGGTTCTAGAAAGCAGGAATTCAAAAAATTGGGTCAGAGGATTGCAATTTTTAAGTTATGGATGTGGCAATACGATTTAATTTTAAAAACAAAACTAAAAATAATACTCATGCATTAGTTTGATTTTTTTATAAAAAAGAAGAAATAGTTTTTAAAATAATGTAGACAGTGGTACTGCAGCCAGCAGGGCTCCTCAGCTGCAGCACTCCAACCTGTTTTTCTTTTACTTCCGTCTTCATCAGCCTCTCTCCTCAGTAATTGCCTTAGTCCCCTAACCACCTGCTCCTGTCTGCCTCAGTATGGTATGTTTTGGCTTCTGCACCTGGTCCTCTTGCAGTCATCCAGGTCCATTCCCTCTCTCTTGACTCTTCCTTCTGCTTTAGAATCCCAGACATGAGCTTGGGCCAGTTTGACTTGGAATCTGTCAGCCCCAGCCAATTAACCTGCTACAGTCTGGTTCTCTTGGCTGCTCCACTCGCCTTGTACGTACTCTGCATATACATCAGTGGCAGCTGTGAGCCCTGCCTCTTCCTGTGCCTAGAGTAGGCTACACTAAGCATGGCTTCCAGTTGGGTGGGCTGGCAAGATGAGTACAATGTCCTCTCCTGAGATCTGGATGCTGCATCTGTTAATGAAGCGACAGACCACTTATAAGCCACCAGGTCACTTCCTGACTCGTTCTAAATCCACTAAACTCATGGTTCCTTTTCAAGGTATAGAGCCAAGTCTTCCCATTCCTATAGTTACATAACTGATATTTTTAGCACAAATGCAGTATATTTGTCTGTATAACATTTTATCTTTTGGTTTTTTAAAATGTTGTTTATACCAATTTGTAAAGCAGGGGGCAAGGATAAATGCAGACTCAAAGCGTGAGTACTCAGGCACAGGCTGGCAGCATGGATGTGGTCCTTTCAGACCCTTGCCATCCCATGAAGAGGCATGCTTGGGATGAACGTGTCTTAGAGTGCCATGTGTGCGCTGTGTGATCCAGGAGAGGGATCACTGTGCTCCGTTGTCTTGCATATTAGTGATGGATGTGGGAAGGGATAGATCTTTAGCTTTGCAATTGGTTACAACCTTGCCAGCATGAGAAATAGCTTGTCTCCCCAGAAAAATTAAGTGAGGAGTTCGCATATCGGCATTGGCTCCAATCTGAGTTCTTGAAGCCATCCTATAGGGCCAATATATTGCTGGGTTACCTAGGGAGAGTCTCCGGAGTCATCCAGCTGATAATCTGATTTGTCTCTCCTCATCCAGTCTTTAGATATCTGATTTTGTTGATCTTTGTATTATCTTTTCCTCTAAGTTTTGCGTCATTTAGTCTTTATTCAAGCCACTGATTAAATTCTGATGATATTTCAGTATGACAATTACCAATGCTCTTTCTGTCTATTAAACCAATCAGTTCTCCATCTGATATAATATCATCTGCCTTATTCTTCTACTTTGTCCACAACATAGCCATGGGAGCCTTTGTCCAATTCCTGCTAAAATCAAGAAACCTCGTATTCATCAGGTCCTATCTACAAGGCCAGGACATGGTAGGTAGGGGCTGGACTCAGAGGCAGGAAGTGAGGAGAGGGTTCAGAAGCCTCATCAGGCTTGTAGAGATGGAACTTTTAATTGCCCCCAGGAGATGCATCAAGGGAGAGAAGAAAGCAGAGCGGTGAGGAGAGCCCAGATCATTAGCCTATTAGGATAAATGTGTTTACTAATGTGTTTATCAATTCTTCCCTCTAGGATTAGAGAGAAACCTAGACAGCCTTGGCACCTAAAAATAGAGACCACTAAAAGTGGAGAGGGGACAGAGAACTAGGAGATGAGGGAACCCCATTTACTCCTTTCTCTCCATCAACCCCTTTCACATGGCGCCTGGTTTCTTCACATGTAAGAAGGCGATCTCAGAATTGTGTGCTACGTTAGTTACTTTCTTGGGAACACCAATTATTTTCAGCGCCAAAGAAGAGGATGATACCTAATCCATACAATTGAACTTCTCATTCCAGGCTCAACAAGAACAGGGTTTGGGGTACTTCAAACCAGATCACAAGTTGACATATCACTCCACTTTGAGTTCAACTCAAGCATCACTCCTCTGAGACCTTTTCTGCCCCTTCCCCTTGTCACCTGGATACACTGCCATTGTACTTATCACAGTGGATTTGCAGACAGTTGTTTACATGTCTCTCACATCTACTACAGTGACAGCAACTTGATTGAGTGCAGGCACTGTGCTGTTCATCTTTGCATTCCCAAGGCCTGGCATGCACCTGGCATATGCTACTCATGTGCCCAGTGAAGCTTGGGACCTGGGAGGGCCTGGAAAGGGTTAGGGTGGCATCATCCCAACTGTCCCTCCCTCCTCCACCTAACCTAAGTCGGTAAGCTCAGTGCATGGCATATAGTAGGTGCCCAACAAATGTTTGTTGAACAAATAAAAGCAAAACATCTGCCTGCCTGTGAGGAAGGTCCAGGGACAACCCTCACAGAAGACTCTGCCTGTACAGCTCATCCCTGCTCTCAACCAGCCAAGGCCAATGAAAGAGCCCTGTGGCCAACCACTACAGATTTCCCTTCATGATGACAATAATCAGCCTGGGTCAGGAAGGGTTTCCTGCAGTCAAGGAATGAGGAGCTGCAGCTCCTCATCAGCCTCTGGTGTGGAAGGCATCCTGACCTCTTCACCCTCACCAGCCGTTCTGACATTAGATAGAGCAGGTAACAAATGGGTAAAGTCCCTGCCTTCACGAACCTTACATCCTTCCTTAGGGAGGCAGGCAGTGTGAACAGAACAGAATACACCAGATGGTGGTGCGGGTGTAATGAGGAAAACAAAGCGGGTAATGGGATGGAGAGTGCTGGGCCAAGGGGCTGCCTTATCAAGCGTGGTCAAGGAAGACCTCCGGGGAAGTCAGCTTGACCTGCCCACTCACTCCTGCTCCTCTCTGATCCCAGCTCCCTCTCTGTCCCTGCTCCAGTCACACCACTTCCATGCTGTGTCTCCAACCTGCCACACTTCCTCCCGCCTCAGGGTCCTCGCTCCTGTTCTTCACACTCCCTGCAGTGCTTCTTCACCTCTTCAAGGTTTTGCTTAAATGTCACCTCCTCAATGACACCTGCTCTGACCACCCTATTTAAAGTTGCAACACCCTCTTTCCCCCGTCCCCCTTAGTCTGCTGTATTTTTTCCCCAAGCACTTAACACTTCCCAACATAGTATCTAATGCACTGGTTTATCGTGTGCTTGGCTCATTGGCCTTCACCCCTCAGTAGAATGTGGACGTGACTCGTGCAGGAATTCTTATGGCTTTGATTTACTAATACGTTTCAAGTGCAGGATAATGCCTGGCACAGGCTGGGTGCTTAATAAGCACTTCAAACATTCACTCATTCACTTAACACTGAAATGTATGCTCTGTACCAGGCGCTGCACTCTAGCAGCAAGAAGATCCTTCACAATGGTGGGAGAGGAGGAGAAACGCCACCCAGCTTCCTTGTGAGCCATGCTGGCCTAGAGCTGATGGGAAAGAGAGGTGGTGTGGTCAGTTTGGGATTCTCTCTAGGCTGTTTCCCTGTCACCTTGCCCCTCTGCCCTCTTTACTCCAAAAGTTAGGGGGTTCAGGATCTTTCTCATATTAGGAATATGAAATGGGACCCAGACGGAGTGGGCATGACCATGGACCTGGAGCAGAGTCAGAGGAGGGCAGGGAGCCAGGGGCTGGGGGCTGGATAATGGACAGGGCCTTCAGAGTGGGTAGAAATGGAGGTGCAGGGCCTCTTTCAGAGGCTGAGGGAGGGGAAATCCCTGTCCTTATCCTCTTTCTCCGGGATTCTGTAATGAGCCTTGCAACACCCATTTTCAACTCTACAAGGCTCCTAGCACTCTCAGTGGTGTGTCTGGGAGAATTAACTGCCTGAATGCCTAATGACAGACATGAGGAGCAGACAGCGTGTGTATGTGTCGTGTGTGTGTGTGTGTGTGTGTGTGTGTGTGCGTGAGAGAGAGAGAGAGAAGTAGGGAAGAGGCAGTGCCTTTCTCTCTTTGAAATTATTTGTGACTGCATGGCAGATTTCCATTTTCACAGCCTCCATCTTCTTTCTGGGAATCTCCCTGTGCAACCACCACTACCATTCCTAAGTCTCCAGCCAGGAGCCTGACCTCTCAGTTTTCCCAAGCAGGCCTTTTCCAATGCCTTTTCCTCAAGCTTAGCACTAATGCCTGCCATATTCAAGGTGCCCTCACTTGCTGTGACCCACTCCAGGCTGACACAGTGACTTCCTCTATGGGCCCTCCCTGGTCACTCTATTGCCAAAAAGCATTCCCTGGGGCCAGTCAGAGTTAAGTCCAGGGTGGTGCATTTCTTCCTTGCTTCTTCCACTTCTGAGCTATGAAATTATCCATTGAAGCAAATCAATAATTCATCAGATGATCTACATTTAGTCTAAATTAGATCTCATTGCCTCAGGCTAAACTTTGAAGTCCTACTTCACCTGACTCCACCACCCAGCCAGCTCTCCAGCAGAGTCCAACCAGCTCCCTTTCATGCTGGCACCTTCTCTCCACCGCATATTCCCCACACTCTTGCCCCCTGCCCCTACGTCTTAGCCCAAGCCAGTCCCCTGTTCAGAAGCCCATCCTTCCCTCTGTGTTGTAGTCACCTTCCTCTTCAAAGTCCCATTTCAAATCGGGGCTTCACCATGAGCTTCCTTGAGCTTCTGCAACAGACAAAAGTATTTTACAATTAGAAGCACACAGTTTTGCATTTACTTTCACTCCATTTGTTTTGTGATCCAAGAGGCCAAAATATACACCACTGTGTCAGCTAAGACAGACCCTAAGTGTAAGGAAATAAAGTTACCTACAGGTGGAGGGTTCAAGGCCTGGCTGGCATGGCAAATTTCTAAATTCCTACAACTATAAGAAAAACCACACCACTGCTAAATTCCCTAACAACAGGAGCTAGCAGGCTGATTTAAAACCCAGACCACTATAACTCTGGTTGGACAGAAGGCCGGCCTTACAAGCCTTCTTTTCTGATAAGCAGTTACAGACCTTAAGCTGGCTTCAGCAGCTTATAAAGGCTGTGCACAAACTGTCTTTGTGTCCTATAGTTCACCTTTTGATGTAAAGAGCCAAATTTTAATGCTAAAACCCTGCCCCAAAGTGAACACGGGATGTCTGTAACATATCTATTTACCCATTGCGCATGTGTCATCTCCCTTCATGAATATGTATAGCTTCCCCCCCAAACCTGCTGAATATGTATGATACTGGCCCTGTTAGGCATAAAACCCAACTTGTCTTTCTCCTCTTTGAAGAGAGAGCACCTTCAGTCCACATTAGAGACTTTCTCTTTCCGGCTTGCAAACCAATAATGCCAATAAAGCTCTCCCTTCTACATCTAGCCATCCTAGTGGTCTTTGAGACGACAGTTTTCTCTTTGCAAACTGTCTTCCCACAGAATTGTTGAGCAACATAAGGACAGGATACTATAATAGACTCACATCACCTCACAACACCAAGCACAGCACCCCCCATGAATACTTGGTGAATTGGTATAACCTTGTTCCCACCCCTCTTTGCAGCTCTATCCCTTTCTCTTAATCCAAATTACCTTTAACCCTCAGCCCTCAATTCCACTTTTGCCTCCAGTTCTCAGGGATTAGACAACCCAAGGTACGTGATCAGACTTTGTTTTGATTTTAGAAGATCGTGCTGGCTGCAAGCCGACTGAAGAGATTAGAGTGAATACAGGCCAGCCGGCAGGGGGGCCATTGCGCCCGCCCAGGTGAGACAGGGCTGGAGCTGGTGAGAGAGATGGAGAGAGGAGGATGGATTCAAGAGATACTCAGAAGGTAAAAAGATGCTCCATTTGTCTGGCACTATACAGTTTCCAAAGCACTTTTGCATCTATTACCTCCTTTGACTTTCAACTGCCCTTAAGATATACTGAGTAGGTACAATCAAAATCTTGGCTTTAGTGATGATGAAACGAAGCTAGGAAGAGTGGAGGCATTTGCCCAAATTCACACAGCTGGTTAGAGCAGGGTTGGGACTCACATCCACATCCTCCGACATCACATCCAGGGCTCCTTTGCAGTCTCAGGTCACCGGGACTCACTCTGGAGCTGCCAGGGGAGGGCCAGTGTTAAGTTGCAGAATCCTGACTCGGCTACCTGCCTGAGGCTATTTACAAACTTCCAATTGATTTGTTGTAACCTGTAATTATTTTTGCTGAATTTTTTTTCACGCTCCATTTGTCTTTTTACTCTCCAGCAGACAGGCTACAGGAAATAGCAGATTGGGAGAGGAGTGGGAACAGGAGAAGCTGTCTTTGGCTCGGCTGGAAGGTGAAGGGATTCCAGATGCCGGTTCCTGGCTTGCTCCCCGCTCTCCATTTGGCTTCATCCTGGGGCTCTCTTCCTCCCCACAGAGGGGTGGTGGGCACTCTGTGCCACACCTCTCCTCTCTGGGATCTCAGGTCTGTCCCTGAAACCTGCTGGTAGAAGAACCTCTAGAGTCCTTGCCTCCTTCCCACCGTGTGACCATTGCCCATTGGCACATCTGTCAAGACACAGATTTTTGGAAGAAAAAAGAAAGAGTGAATGCTGCAGAGATGGATTGTTAATTTTCCAAATGAGATATGACTCTGAGATCCCACCTACCCAGCTGGTAGGACGTTCCACCATGCTCCCTAAGGTGGTTTGAGTGTTTGGAATGACAAAGACTCTCTCATCACCCTGAAACCTTAGTCCGGCGGCGCCTCTGAGTCTTCTGCTTGACGAGGCCTGACCTTGGGCTTCCCCATGTCCTTTCAGAATCCAGTTTGAGCAAGAATCCTGCTAAGTCAGGTTAGTGAAATTTCCCCACTCTTGTTATCTGACTATCCTCAATATTTTATCACCCCTGCCTGCATTCAGCAATGATCCTGTCAAGTCAGTTTAGCCAGAAACCCCTTACCCTTGATGTTTCTTCCTAGTAATTTTCCATCCTCTGTCCTTAACCCTGACCATTGGTTGATTACAAATCTCCACTTGCCCTTGTTGGAGTTGAAACTGAGCCTGATCTCTCTCCCCCACCATAAGACATCTTTGCAGTGGCCCCTATACCTACTGCCATGGCCTCCCTTGAATAAAGTCTGCCTTGCCATCTTTAACACACGTTTGGATAATTCTTTTCTTTTTTCTTTTTTTTTTTTTAGTTGGAGTCTTGCTCTGTTGCCCAGGCTGGAGTGTGGTGGCTCAATCTCAGTTCACTGTAACCTCCATCTCCCAGGTTCAACCGATTCTCCTGCCTCAGCCTCCTGAGTAGCTGGGAATACAGGCGGGTGCCACCACTCCCGGCTACTTTTTTGTATTTTTAGTAGAGATGGGATTTCACCATCTTAGCCAGGATGGTCTCAATCTCCTGACCTCGTGATCCGCCCACCTCGGCCTTCCAAAGTGCTGGCGTGAGCCACTGCACCCGGCCAATTTTTTTCTTTAACAGGGTGGTCACTCAATTTGCAGAGCTTGGAGAAAGGCTTCTGCTCATTGTCTGAACCTATAGGGTCCCTTCGAGGAGGTCAGGGCTGTTCACAATCTATTCTCCTCCATGCTAACTTGGCCATCATCCCCCAGACCCCAGAAGGGGTTCTGTTGTGTCCTGGGTGGCTGTGTGGGCATGGAGCGCAGGTCTTCACCCCCACACACGCCGCCTCGTCACTCACTCCCCCACATTCTGCCACAGGATTCAACCCACTCCCCAGTTCCAGGTCAGCAGCAGCCTCCCTCCCCTCTCTTGTGGAGCCAAATCCTCCTCAGCATGGTAAGGTGGGCTTTGTTTTGTTTTGTCTTTTTAAATTACAGTGGAAGCATGGAGAAGCTGTTAACTCCACCCGCGTGAGAAGAGCCTAAATCTAGTACGCAGCTAGGACAGTCTTCCCTGAATGGAGTTGGGGTGAAGTTGGAAGTAGCTCTCATTCTTTTGTGACAAATCCATAGTCAGGAAAATGGACACAGTTAATATCTCTTCTCATTATCCTACTGCGCTGCCATTTACAGGTAGCTCTGAATTTGCAGTCCTCACTATTCCTATCACAAGACAGTTATTATTAGCCACACTTTACATGTGAAGAGGCTTGGAGAAATTAAAAAAAAAAAAAACTTGCCTAAGGGCACACAAGTATGAGTGACAGAGTGGAGAGGGATTCAAACCCAGGCCTGACTGAAGGCTGTTGCCACTATTCCAGCCACCACTGAGTGGACTTAATGAGTGATCTCTACCAAAGGTATTTGCATGGATTGTCAAAGCTTTGGAAAGGCTATAAGGAAAGAAATGCCCAAGTAAATTCTTCAGGGGTCAGTGGAGTGGGTGGGGATCTATATTCTGGAGGCAGCCTCCAGAGTCTTTCACATTTCCACCAGGTCAAAAAATAAATAAGAAGCAGCATAAACAAATATTGAACTCTAATTAACAATATGATATTGAAGTATTTAGAGGTTAAAGTGTACCAAAGTCTGTAACTTTGAAATGTGTCCACAATATAAGAAAAGACTGGTGGATGGATAGATGAACAGATTTGGGGTAAAGCAAATATAGCAAAATGTTAGTTATAGAATCTAGATTGTGGGCATATGGTTGTTCACTGTGCAATTCTTTAAACTCTTCTGAATTTTTACATTTTTCGTAATAACATATTGAGGGGAAATAAATCACACAGGTGGGTCACACCCATCTCTTGTTATACAATGCCAGGCTGGAGGGGAGCTTAATCATTAGTCACCGAGTTCTTTCCCAAGTGTCCTGCAGGAAGAGTGCTGGACTAGACATTTGAAGACACAGAATAACAAACAGGTAGTCCCTGCTTGGTGGAAATTTAGGATACCTGTGACAAAATAGGACGGAATCATAAAATCAACAGTCATAAAGACAGTGAGCTCTTTATTTTCTGCTTTAATGGAGGGGGAGCAAATTGCCTGACTATACATGTCCAAACGCCTTTTCTTTTTTACTTTGATGCATGGGAAGGCTCACCACACTTAAAGAGACAGAAACGGGCAGTAAGAGAAAGTGGCCCAAAAGCACTTAGTGGGTTACAGAAGGTCCCCAGTGGAGAATCCACCTGCAGGTCCCAGAAGGTGTGTTGAGGAGCAGGAGGGGCACCTTTTGTGGCAGGTGGGTTTAGTGGAAAGTTCAGGGGATTTGGAACCATGCCAGGACCAACTCTGCCGATCTAGATGAACTTGAACAAGTCACTGTTCTCTTTGAAGCTTAATTTCCTCTTTTGTTGCCTATAGGCCAAATTCTGCCTAGGGCTTGTTTTTATTTTTCACATCTGAGGCAGGAAAGCAAGGCAATTCTGATGACAGTCCTCAAAGGCTGATCTTGGCCTCCAGCCTTAGCTGCGAAGAACAGGGACCCCACACAGCCCATGGGAGAAAGGCGCCTAGGGCTTGTTTTTATATGGCCTGTGAGTTAATGGGTTTTTTAAAAATATTTTTCAATGGTTGGAAAAAATCAAGAGAAGAATAACATTTTGTGAGATGTAAAATTATATATAATTCAAATTTCAGAGCCCATAAATAAAGTTTATTGGAAAATGGCCAAACTCATTTGTTTACGTATTGTCTGTGGCAGCTCTCAATCAATAATAACCAGGTAGTTGCAACAGAGACCTTATGGCCTGCAAAGCCTCAAATATTTAGTCTCTATGCCTTTATTTGTTTATTTATTTTATTTTAACTGTTTTTTGAGACAAGATCTCACTCTGTCGCCCAGGCTGAAGTGCAGTGATGCAATCTTGGCTCACTGCAGCCTCGAACTCCTGGGCTCAAGCCATCCTCCCACCTCAGCCTCCCAAGTAGCTAGGACTACAGGAGTGCACCACCATGCCTGGCTAATTTTTGTATTTTTTGTAGCGTTGGGGTTTCGCCACATTGTCCAGGCTGGTCTCGAACTCCTGGGCTCAAGTGATCCTCCTGCTTCAGCCTCCCAAAGTGCTGGGATTACAGGTGTGAGCCACTGCACCCAGCCTCTACCCCTTTACAGAAACAGTTTGCCAACCTGGTGTGAAATAGTTCATCTGCAATTTAACTGCTCCACATACCTCACGTCACAGAATTGCTGTGAGAAGTAATGAGATTTGGGTTTAGTAAACTGGAAGATTCCATAAGATGCAAGGTGTTACTACTGCCCTGATTTCATTTCTCTCAATACCATCCTTACAAAGGCAGGAGAATCTACAAGGAATGTCTTATATAACAGGAAGAGAAACTAAAGTTAATAAAGGGAGACAAATGGCATGCAGAAATAAATGCTCCTATTTTCCCTGAGAGGCTTCCCACAGCAAGGGCCTCAACTATGTACTCCCGCAAATTTGGGGATGTACAGTCTCATCTGGAAAGATCCAAAGGGGAGGACCAGGCATTTTTCAGGAATTTAATGAGCCAGTTGTTAAACACACCATTATTGAAAAGTAAATTACATAAACTTATAATTTAATAAGTGATATTAAAAGCAAAGGCAATAAATACTCTAATGTTATCAATTCTTAATTCTTTGACTATATTATCTGTGTTCTTGAGGTCATTTACTCCTGTTCTATGTGTATGGTGAAAATACTATACATCAGTGTGCTACTGTGACTCTTTTCCTGGCTCTGCATTCAATGATGTCATATTTGGTATCTTGAAATTAGTCATGGCAGGAGTATTTACAATTGGCAGTTGGCAAGCCCTACAAATCAGGCATTCCCCCCAGTCTCAAAGCTGTTTGTTAAACATTTACCAGCACGCTGCTGGGACCAGGACTTCCATTTACAAGAGATTCACAAGGGAGAGAGAAGGCAAGTAGAGTAGAGAGTGAAGAATGACAGAGGGCAGGGGGTGGACATCATGGGGTGCAGAAGAGGAGGAGGGTCAGGTCTGCTTGTGTTCCAAGAAGCTTTTGAACCAGAAGAGATGTATTTGGGGATGAAGTCTTTGATGTAGCCATTTCTATGGTGTGCATTCTTTGGTTCCACCTTCAGATTAATGAGGTGTCAAAGAACCTAGGTCCATAAAGATGAGAACACCAAGATTTGGGAGGGTTGGAGTCGGGGGGAAGGTGAATGACTCACCTGGAGTCATCCAGTGCCTCACAGACAGGTCTAGTATCCTGACTCCTTCTCCCAGACTAGCTCTTCCCAGAACGGTGACACTGTCTCACCAAGCACCTGCAGATGACAGGAAATGGACACATGAGTCGTACCTGCATTGCTGCTGTCTTCCTATCAGTGAGAACCTGTCTCCTTCCCTTCTGTCAACAGGCATCTGTAGGCTTTGTTAATCTAGGAGTCTGACCACCCACGTCCTCAGCTGGTCCTGTCCCTCCACAGCCCTCTTCTCCCAGCCCTTCAATCATCTCTCCGGACTATAAGCTTATTAAGAGCACGGGAGTAGTCAGCACATCAAGTGTTTGGCACCGGGGTGAGGTGACTGACTACAGCTCTGGGAAGCTCCGCAGAACAAACACCAGAATGAACGGTGTCTTCATTCTCCAGTGAGAGGACTTTGCATCCTGACTTTGTGTACTCTTTCAGGAGCAGACCACCAGAGACAGTCACACAAGGGGAGGGGAGATGGCATTGTGGGAGTGGCCCACTCCGTGAGCACATGAAATTTTAGATCTCCACTTCCGTTTGGTAGCATGTAAAACAGCAGACTCTTGGAAAGTCATCTTTGGAGGGAACCCAAGAGGTCATCATATCCAGAACTTCATTTTACAAACATGTAAACTGAGGCCAGAAAGAGAAAATGACAGGAGCAAATAGGTGATGCTAATAGGTGATGGTGTTGGATTCAAACCCAGGTGTTTTATCCTGATGCAATAAGAAATACGGATTTGGTCTCTGTCCCTGGTTCCTGGCATACAGCTCCTAAAACCCTTGTAATCTCTGACAAAAGAATGTCTTTTGGATGCTAAGAGGAAACTGGTGGCTGGGAGCCCCTAGATGGCTTCAGAATGGGGGCTGGTCACCAGAAAGACCATGGTATGATTAGAACCTCTTGAGAGGAGAGAGGGGCTGAAGGTTGCGTTGATACCTTATGGCCGATGATGTAATCAATCAGGCCTATGTCATAAAGCTTCCATAAAAACCAAAGAAAACTTGGTTCAGGAGGCTCCAGACAGCTGAACCTGTGGAGGCGCCTGGAGGGTGGATCTTCCGGAAAGCACATGGCAGCTCCGCGCCCCTTCCCACATGACTTGCCCTGTGCATCTCTTCCATCTGGCTGCTCATCTGTATCCTTTATCATATCCTTTAAAAGAAACCGGTAAATGTAAAGTAAGTGTTCTGTGAGCTGCTCTAGCAAATTAATTGAAACCAAGGAGGGGGTCTTGGGAACCCCAACTTATAGTTGGTTGGTCAAAAGCACAGGTCACAACCTTAGTCGTGTGATTGGCACCTGAACTGGGGGCAATCTTGTGGGACTGAGCCATCAGCTGTGGGATCTGACTCTCACTGCAAGTAGATGGTGCCAGAATGGAACTGAATTATAGGACACCCAGTTGGTGTCTGCTGGAGAATTTCTTGGTGTGTAGGGAAAAGCCCCCATGCATCTGGTCACAGAAGTATGCTATAGTGAAAGACAGTTTGTTTTCCCTTCAGACTGCATCTCTTTATAGTTTGTTCTTTGCTAAGAAGAGCTAGAATTTAGTCTCTTAGCTTCAGACACAATGTGAAATTCATGGAACCATTACTTAAACAAAAAGTAACCTCTATGTATATATGTGTATATGTGTGTGTGTGTGTGTGTGTGTATGTGTATACATATATATATATTTTCCCAGAAATATGCTGAACACTATGGAAGTATGCTGAACACTATGAAATGAATTCAATAAACATAGTTCCTGCTATTTATAGCCTGGCTTACAGTTTAAAATTGAGATGGACATAGACGGAAAAGGGGGTTTAGGCTTAAACAATAGAAATATGGATAGAATTTGCATTCTATGGCTGATGATGATAAATGTAAGGTTGGTGAAGTGAGGATGACATGAGTTTGAGAAGCAAAGACCTGAGTTCAAATCCTGTCTCTGCTGTCTATTAGCTGTGTGACTTTGGGCAAGCTGCTCAGCCCCTTAAAACCTCAAATTTCCAGACTATGAAATACAGACAGTAATATTTATTTAACAAGGATGTTGAGAGGATAGAACAAGATATTTGTAAAGTGCTTAGTCTAGTACCTGGAGCAGAATAGGTGCTCGATAATGGTAACTAGTATCATTATCTCAGTGACAGCTAGTTCAAGGCGCTAGGAGTAGGTAGGGACAGAAACGTGTGAAGTGGGGAAGGAAATGATTTACCTACCTGGTGTTGATCACAATAATAGCAAAAATTCCTCATAAGGTATTTGCATTGCTCCTTATGATTTATAGATAGTCCTGAGAGACAAAGCAGAATTAGTCCTATTTCATAGGCTAACATACACTTGTATTTATTCAGTGAAGTTTTACTGTTCCAGACTTGTTCTAGATATGAGGCTACAGAAATGCACAAGCGAAGGCTAATGGAAAATTCAATGGCCCAGACTCTGATGGTGGATTTTCTAAGCTAGTATCTCTTTCAAGCCTCACTCATTCTGTTTGGCAAAGGCCTTGAAACACCCAAATGACCAGAATTTTGAGGAGAAGAAAGGCAGGGAGGAAAAGAGGTTGCCATGTGCTGACTCATCCATGGCCCTCTAGAGCACTAATGAGGGGTGGGGGGCGCCTACAGAGGCCTCTTTCCTTGATGGTGCCTCCAGAGTTGGCGTGCACCCATTCTGGGCTCTTGGAGGCTTATGCCCACAGGACAATTGCTTCTGGGCTGCTGCGCTGGGCTCTGTGCCAGGCAGACTGGCATTCAATTCAGTCGAAGCCAGAGTGCAAAAAACTAAAGACAGGACAGGTGTTGCATGTCAATGACAGGAAGAAGGTGGAAAACACTCTCTGCTCTGCTAGTCTGTGCAGACACTGGCTTGGCCTGTTGCAAGTGTGCCAGAGAGGCATACGTAGGTGTGACACACAGGATGGGCAGGCATCTGAATGACCACAACTGGTCACACGTGGTGAAAATAGAAGAGGCATGTATGTTTGGGCAAATGTTGACTGCAGAGTGTGTATATGTGAACATGTTTGTGGCTTGGGTGTTTGAGTGCATGCTGTGCATTGTGAGAATGGTGGGTGGGTGTGAATGTGTGTGTGAGCGGTGTATATCCAAGATGTAAATAGAAAGCAAAGAGGCTGATGTCATAAGCCACAGACAAAAACTCTGTAGCGAAATGCCTTCAGCATGGACCTGTGTGTGTTGCCTGTATGTGTAACTGGCACACGTCTGGTCTAGTGTTCTGTGTATTTAAAATTACCTATGAGGACCAGGCTCAGTGGCTCATGCCCATAATCCCAGCACTTTGGGAGGCCAAGAT
The DNA here is from genome assembly GCF_000001405.40 of Homo sapiens. Taxonomy (NCBI): domain Eukaryota; kingdom Metazoa; phylum Chordata; class Mammalia; order Primates; family Hominidae; genus Homo; species Homo sapiens. The sequence continues at coordinate 204,722,987 of NC_000001.11, read as the reverse complement.
GGGAGGATCACTTGAGGCCAAGAGTTCGGGTCCACCATGGACAACATAGCAAGACCCTGTCTCTAAATAAATTTTTAAAAATTAGCTGTGTGGTGGCATATGCCTATAGCCCCAGCTACTTGGGAGGCTGAGGTGGGAGGATTGCTTGAGCCCAAGGTTTGAGACTGCAGTGAGCCATGATCAAGCCACTGCACTCCAGCCTGAGTGAAAGAGTGAGACCTTGTCTCAAAACAAAAAAAAAAAAAAAGTATGAGTAGAAGCATTAGTGTTGTGTGTATTTGTACATGAGCTTGTATATATAAGTGTTGGGTGTTGCTACGGTCTGAATGTTGGTTTCCCTCCAAAATTCATATTGGAACCTACCACCCAATGTCATGTATTAAGGGGTGGGGCCTTTGGGGAAGTAATTAAGTCATGAGGGCTGTGCCCTCCTGAATGAGATTGATGCCCTTATAAAAGGGATTGAAAGGAGCAACCTTGCGCCTTCCAACACGTGAGCAAGAAGCTGTCATCTTGGAAGCAGAGAGCGGGTCCTCACGTGATATCAAACCTGCCTGTGCTTTTGTCTTGGACTTTCCAGTCTCTGGAACCATAAGAAAAACATTTCTGTTGTTTATAAATTGCCCAGTCTAAGGTATTTTTGTTATAGCAGCCTGAACACACTAAGATAAGTATGTTACATGTTTATCTACGTAAATCTGTGTGTGTTTCTGGCCAAGGCTGGGAAACAAGATATAGTGTGGGACAATGATCAATTCCAGCTTTCTTATAGGCCTAGGATTCTCTCTCCCTATACATTGGATACAGTTCATCCATCCTGAGTAAAATCCTAAAGGTTTAGATAAATCAAATAAGGCTTTGACCCCTGACACCATCCACTTGCAACTTAAACCCAAGCCACCCAGAAACACCTCCCCTGCTAGGCCCCACCACCGGAAGGAGCCTCTAACACAAAGGCTGACAATACAAAAGATGTCTGTCTTAGCCTCCCCTCATGCTGTCCCTCAAAGAAAAGGGACTGCAGTTGAAACTGAACCATTCATGCTGGCTCTGTTCTGCAGAGCTGTGACACAGACGTCCCGATTTCCCACCTAGAGCCTAGAGGGGCCAGTTGGAAAGCCCGGATAATTTCCTCACTACCTTGTCATCTCCTGAAAGCTGCTTACTCTAGCAGGCCCCCTCTGTTCTGAGGCTGACATTCCTTCTTTGCTCATTTCTCTCTGCTTGTGTCTAATGAGGTGCAGGAGGCTGCTGAAACTGACAATAGAATTACCCTGGACTCTAGATTCTGTCAATCTCCATTAGGAGCCCAGGGAGAGAACAGTCAAAGCACCGGGACACCTTGGTGCTGTTATTGTAATGGGGTTCACTGCGAGAGCAAACAAAACAACATCCCCCCGAGATGCTCACCCTGGGCTGATGAGTCACTCTGGCTTCCAGTCCAGGCTGCAGCATCTACCTCACCCCACCACTCCAAGGAGCCAGAGCCCCGGGAAGTCACACACCTCACTGCTGCAGGTACGGGGACATCAGGGAGGCTCATTCTTCCCGTGAAGATCTGCCTAAGTTTGGCTCAACAACCCTCTCTTCATTTAATGACTTGTGAGCAGTCCAAAGCCTCCCCTCGATTTCTGTAATGTCCTAGGTGACTTAGGTCCTCTTGACCACCTCTCATTTCGAGCAGCTGCTGAATTATTTGGTACATGGACCATCTCTCTGATCCCCTCACCTTCCATATGCTTTTTTAGGTTTCTACCATTTCAATTCTTTGTGGAACTCAATCTGTTTTCTTAACTGATGCAAAAAAGACCACTTAAAGGTAAGTCTTTTCAACAATGGTGCTGGAATAATTGGACAAATATAGGCAAAAAAATGACTCTCAATCTAAGCCTCTCAAAGTTATTATAAAATTAATTCAAAATTAATTTTAAATGCATTAGTTTATACAGGTGTGGTGGCTCACACCTGTAATCCCAGCACTTTGAGAGGCCGAGGTGGGCAGATCATTTGAGTCCAGGAGTTTGAGACTAGCCTGGTCAATATGGCAAAACCCCATCTTTACTAAAAATACAAGAAAACTAGCCGGGGGGTGGTGGTGTGCACCTGTAATTCCAGCTACTCGGGAGGCTGAGGCAGGAGAATCGTTTGAACCCAGGAGGCGGAGGTTCCAGTGAGCTGAGATCACACCACTGCACTCCAGCCTGTGCAACAGGGTGAGACTCTGTCTATAAATAAATAAATAAATAAATAAATAAATAAATAAATAAATGCATCAGTTTACATACAGATCATATGTAAAATGTAAAACTAAAAAACTTCTAGAAGAAAGCATAAGAGAAAATCTTTGAGACCTTGGTTAGTCGAGTTTTTAGATAAAATACCAAAATCATGATTCATAAAAGAAAAAAAAGATAGATATTATCAAAATTTAAAATTTGTTCTGCAAATGACACTGTTAAGAGAATAAAAAATAATATGCCACAGATGGGGAGAAAATATTTACAAATCACATCTTTTATCCAGAATATCTAAAGAAACCTCAGCCAGGTGTGGTGGCTCACACCTGTAATCCCAGCACTTTGGGAGGCTGAGGGAGGAGAATCCCTTGGCTCTAGGAGTTCAAGACCAGCCTGGGCAACATAGTGAGACACCCCCCATCTCTACAAAAATAAAAATAAAAATTAGCCAGACATGGTGGCACACACCTGTAGCTTCGGCTACTTGGGAGGCTAAGGTGGAAGGATCCCTTGCACCCAAGAATTCAAGGCTGCAACGAGACATGATCACCAATGCATTCCAGCCTAGGCAACAGAGTGAGACTCTTTCTGAAGAAAGAAAGAGAGAAAGAGGGAGAGAGGAAGGAAGGAAAGAAGGAAGGAAGGAAGGAAAGAAGGAAGGAAGGAATCCTCAGAACAATAAGAAAACAGGCTGGGCGCAGTGGCTCACGCCTGTAATCTCAGTACTTTGGGAGGCCAAGGTGGGTGGATCACGGGGTCAAGAGTTTGAGACCAACCTGAACAAAATAGTGAAACCCCGTCTCTACTAAAAATACAAAAATTAGCTGGGCGTAGTGGTGCATGCCTGTAATCCCAGCTGCTTGGGAGGCTGGGGCAGGACAATCATTTGAACCCTGGAGGCAGAGGTTGCAGTGAGCCAAGATCACACCACTGCATTCCAGCCTGGGCGACAGGCCAAGGCTCTGTCTCAAAAAAAAAGGCAAGAAAACAAACACCACTAGAAAAAAAATGGACAAAAGATTAGAATAAGCACCTCTCCAAAGAGATATAGGAATGAAAAATAAGCATGTGGAAATGTGTTTAACATCATAGTCATTAGAGAAATGTTAAATTAAAACTACATTGAGATACCACTACAAACCTATTAGAATAGCAAATAAATAAAAACAGCTGACAATACCAAGTGTTGGTGAGGTTGTGGAGCAACTGGAATTCTCATTATTACTGGTGGGAATGAAATGGTACAGCCCCTTTGGAAAACAAATTGGCAATTTCTTATAAACACCTACCATATGACTACAATCCCACCTCAAGAAAAAGGGAAACTCATGTTCACATAAAACCCACTACATAAATGTGTATAGCAGCTTTACTCATAATTACCCAAAACTGGTATAATCCAAATATTCTTCAACTGGCAAATAGATAAACAAACTGTGGTGCGTCCAACAGTGCTAGAGTGGAATACTACTCAGCCATAAAAACGAACAACTACTGCTTGACACAACAACATACAGGAATCTTAAATGCGTTTTCCTAAGTGACAGAAGTCAGGCCCAAAAGGTTGAATATTGCATGATTTCTTCTATATGACATTCTGGAAAAGGCATAACTATAGGGACAAAAAATAGATCAGTGGTTGCCAGGGGTTAGTGGTGGGGAGAGAAGCTGACTATAAAGAGTCAGGACAAGGGAATTTTTTAAGTAATTGAATTGTTCTCTATCATGATTGTGGTAGTAAATTCATAACTATGCTTCTCAAGACCTATTGTACCACATACCATAAAAAGTGAATTTTACTGTCTGGAAATGTTTAAAAATTGACCCGAATATTGGGGGAACCCAAAATGGAATACAAACTAAGAAATAAAACTGTAATACAAATAAACCATATAGTTAATATTGAAAGAGATGGAAAAGAAAATAACTAACAGAAGTAACTTTGGAAAACAGTTTCGAGTGTATGCTATAAGACTAAAGATAAGAACTGTATTGAATGTGGCTTTTGTTACACAACAAAAACAAAAAGAACTATACACAAGTACTGTACTGTAGTAAGTAAATTTGCTCCTCACAGAGGTATGGGTTAGCAGTTCTGAAACTACTTTATGTGTGTGCATACTGGGATTGAAAAAACAAGCTAATACAGTCAATTCTCACACACTGCAGTGGCTACATTCTATAAATCACTGTAAAGACTGAATTAGCAAATACTGAAGCATTATTCCAAGGGGAAATATAGAGTTAGGGTCCTGTGAGCCTCTGGTCATACCACTTTCATCAATCAATCAATACATTGCCTTGTTTTGTGTGTGTTTCTGTTTAAAGATACTTTATTCACTATATATTTTTCATTCATTAACATCGAACTCATGGCCAACCAAACGTGCTTTAACTCATGCCTGAATGAAGCTTATCTAACACAGGTATTTTCTTTGTGAGGCTCATAACAGCCTTTTTATGCTCAGGAACATTAGACAGCACTTCAGCACGACGCTTGGGGGCCATTTTAAACAGCAAAATCACCAATAAAAAGCATAAAAATGGGAAAAACGTGACACTAAATAGACTGTGAAAAGGACACTTGTTTAGAATGTGAGAGCTGGAGCAAGAAGGCAGAATGGAGCCTGGTTTTGACCTCAGCTAAGAACAAGCACAGCGGGCTAAAGTTTTTGAAGCTCTGGGCATGTCAACGAATGACTGGCAAAAGACCACAAGTACTGGTTTTGGAGTTATAAATTACAGGTAGTAGGAGAATTTGCAAATACAGAATCCGTGAATAGCAAGGATCAACTTTATGTGGTAGACAACGAGAGCCAGATGAGGGGAATGAGACAGGAACTCAACCGTCTCTCAAGGCCAGTCACAATTGCTGAATGCACCGACTTTCTGGAGTTAAAACTCATTGCATGCAAGCAAGCTGGAAGGTCCCTCAGACACCTAGCGTTCACCACTCCTTTTACAAAGACCACTGAGGCCTAGGGAGGGATACGTGACTTGCCCAGGTCACACATGAAATAGGCCTCTGTCTTCCTTTCCTGTAGTGGCCCTGGGGTGCCTTGGTTCACCTCTTAAGGATCTGAGGTCCTGAAGGCTGGGAATTTTGTAGGGAGGAGTTAACATATTTGAAACCCAGGCCTCAGTTTACCCAAATGAGTCTCTCTCCTATACCACAGATCTGCCTGAAAGAACTTCTAGATAGCGAGTGGAGTGCCAAGGCTCGGTCTTAGACCACCTCTGTTTCTACCAGTACTCACTCCCTAGGTAATCTTATCCATTCTCATTACTTTAAGTACCATCTTTTGTTTGTTTGTTTGTTTGTTTTTTGAGACAGAGTTTTGCTCCTGTTGCCCAGGCTGGAGTGCAGTGGCGCGATCTTGGCTCACTGCAACCTCCACCTTCTGGTTTCAAGACATTCTCCTGCCTCAGCCTCCCGACTTTAAGTACCATCTGTATGCAAATTTACATCTCCAGCCCAGACATCTTCTTCTGGGTCCCAGACTCCAATTTCCAACTGCCTTCTTGGCATTGCCATGTGGATACCCAATAGGCACCTCAAACCTAACATCTCCAAAGCAGAACTTTGATACCCTCCCTCAACCTGCTGCTCCCATCCCCATTCTTTCCCATCTTAGTAAATGGCAGCTGGAATTGCTAAGGCTAAACCTGGAGCATCATTCTTGAATCCTTTCTTTCTCTCATATCATACATACAATTCAGCAGCCAATCCTGTTGGCTTGGAGGACTTCTTACCACCTTCATTGCTACCACCTAGGCCCTCTGACTACTATGTTTGCAAATCTCCTGAACTTTGTTCCCTGTTTCCAGGTTTGCCCCACACAGTCTGCCAAATAGCAATTAGAATTGTCCTTGTAAAATGTCAGGTCATATCACTCCTCTGTTCAAAACCCTCCAATGACCTCAGAGCAAAATCCAAGGACCACAGATGACTCCCAAGGCCCTCATGAGCTCTGATCTCTCCTCCCACCCTAACCTGATTCACCTCACTCCAGCCATAAAACTCTTGGCTGTTCCTGAACACCTGGGCAGTTTCAGCTGGGCCTGTGCTCTTGGGGACCCACTGTCTGGGAAGCTCTTTTACCAGAGAGCAGGTCTGTGGCTCTTCAACACTTCCCCATGGTCCCAGACAAGCAGGAGGACATCTGGGTTAGAAACCTTAACTTGCCAGGTGGAGTCAGGCCTAGACCTCCAGCCTTACATTTTACTGAGATCTGCTCTAATGTCCCTTTATCAGAGAGCCCTGCTAAACTGCACCATCCCCATCACTTGGTATCTCCTTCATCCTGGTTTCTGTCTTTTTTTTTTCAGATGGAGTCTCGCTCTGTCGCCCAGGCTGGAGTGCAGTGGTGCGATCTCGGCTCACTACAAGCTCCGCCTCCTGGGTTCCCACTATTCTCCTGCCTCAGCCTCCCAAGTAGCTGGGACTACAGGTGTCTGCCACCACGCCCAGCTAATTTTTTGTATTTTTAGTAGAGATGGGGTTTCACCGTGTCAGCCAGGATGGTCTCGGTCTCCTGACCTTGTGATCCGCCTGCCTCGGCCTCCCAAAGTGCTGGGATTACGGGCATGAGCCACAGCGCTCAGCCCTAATTTTTGTATTTTTAGTAGAAAAGGGGTTTCACTATGTTGGCCATGCTGGTCTTGAATTCCTGAACTCAGGTGATCCGCCCACCTTGACCTCCCAAAATGCTGGGATTACAGGCATGAGCCACCGCACCTGGTTTCTTAACATTCTTTGCCACCTCCTCTGCTATATCTATTTACTTTGTATCCACCAGATCGAAAGCTCAGGTCTAATTCCCTGTACCTAGAATATTGCCTGTAGTGTAGTAGGCACTTAAGGTTTTGTTGAGTGAGAGAATGAATAAACAAACAGAAGGATTTGCTTTTCAAACCAGAGCCTCCCTGCCTCCTGCTCTGCCTGCTAAGGATCAGGAGGAGACAGCAGCTAAGGAAGGCAGTCCTGAATTTTCCCTAGGGATAGGGAGTAAGTGGGGGGATCCCTGAGAAACGCTGGAAGCACCCACTCTGCTGCCAAGGCTGCGAGGAAAACAGGCCAGAGTATCCTAACAGCCTCCACTCAGAAGGGGCCTGGAAACTTTTAACCAGACAAAATAACAAATGCAGTGGTTTAGGGCTTGGTGGGGCTTCCCACCCGTCCCACCCCTGTCCCACACACCTAGGCCCACATTGAATGCCCTCAGCACCTCCGGCTGCACAGGGGCCTGTTTTCCCTGACTCTGCTGCTGTTCACAGAACCAACTTCCTCCCACCCCACACAGACGCTCCCTTCCCAGAGCTCATTGGGAACCTTCTGATTTGCATCTCCAAAGAAATAAAATAAATTCCACTAAATGCTGTTTGTTTTTCCTTCTGTTTGCCCTGAGGCGGGCCTGTTGTGGCTCCTGGGATCCAGAGTGGGTAATCTAGGCGATTTGTGGTTCAGGGAGCCGGGGACCTTAGAGGCCTTTACAATAAAAAGAGGGGAGACTGCAACTCCCATTTGAAAGGAGATGGGGAGAGAGGCGGAAAAAGGAAAGAGGAACTGACAACAAAACCTGCCTGACACAATTATAGCCACATTTGCATAACAGAGACCGAGAATCACTTAGAAGGAGTGATAATTAGATTCTCTGGTGATTAGGGACAGTTTCCAAACGTGGGGAGAGGAGATGGAAATCCAACCTTGAAGTGGAAAAAGAATGTACGGAATTGAGGCTCACTGTTGGGAGGTGGGAAAGAGGGCTCACAGACTGAGAGCTAATTGGCTCAAGGCCGACACCTCCTGGCAAGCCAACGTTTCCAGCTCAGATCTGCCTGTCTGGACTAGTGGGGGAAAGCACTGAAGACCCACAGATCTACGTCGGGGGCATCCAGGCTCTTTCCCAGGCCAGCTGTGTGACCTTGTACACCTGTAATCTCCCTGAAGCCAGGTAACTCACATTCCAAATAGGGTTTAGAGGGCTGCTTGTTGCTTAAACGAGATACTGCTGGAAGAGGGTGTGGAGGACAAGCACACGGCCAGTGGGCTCATCTGAAAGACACCCTCCCCAACTCCCTTCCCAATGGGCATCTTACAACAACTGTGTTGCTTCTGGTAGTGCTCCATAGTGCGGGGTGGACCCCCTTTATAAGGAGGTAGCCTGTGAATTAGGAAGGCAGTAACCCCAGGGTGGGAAAGAAGCTGCCAGCCTTGTGGCTGGGGCATGTGTGAATATGGAGGCCTAGGAGTGTTAGGAAACGTGGTCTTAGATCAGCTCTTTCTCTCTCTCTCTCTCTTTCTCTCGAGCCCCAGTTCTCACTTTCTCCGCTCAAGAAAGCATGACATCATAGGGGTCACCTTGAATGTAATATTCATGCATATATAAAAACCATTTGCAAATGTGGATCCCTTATTATTAGTAACAGATAATTTGTATCATACCTCCTACTGCCTGGGCTATGAGCTTCTGGATGACAGGGACAAGATTTTTTATTTTTATTGTCATTTTAAATTTCTGGCACTTGGCACATAGTGGGTGATCAGGAAATGTTTAATAAATGTCCAACCATTTTTGACACTTCCTTTTTTCTCCAGTGTAGTGGGATTGGCCAATGGCAGGAGACTCTTTCAAACCAGACATCTTAACTTAGGTCTATATGGCCTTCATGACAGCAAAGAATTAAGGGACTTGTGGGGACTCATAATCCTCCCTACATGACTTCTGGGCAAGGTCAGGATGTTGGAACCAATGCTCTGGGTTTCCAAGAAAAGAGTGAATTGCAAGGGGCTTCTTTAAAGCAGAACAGATTCATGTCATCCTCACCTCTCATCTGGACTCCAACGTTAGAACCTAATTGCTGTGATTAGAGAGGAATGAGTCAACATTTATCCTTCTTTTAAAGGGGTGTGTGTGTGTGTGTGTTTCATTTAAGTTGTGGCTATGGACGTATTCTTGCAAGTCAAGTATTAGCTGAAGCTAAGAGTTTGTGTTCAGCTGGTTTCCATGGTAACCTGTTAGCTTCCATTGCCTTCCTCTCTCCCCTCCTCTGTTACGGGGATACTCCTTTCCTAAAGGCCAAGATTAGTAAAAGAGAGAAACGGACATCATCCGCACCAAGCTCAACTGCTCCCAGACAGCACAGCTGAGGTGTGGCTATAAACCCAGTGTGTCTGTCAGTGTGTGGTGGGGCTCAAGAGCTGGTGGATAACATGCTCCCTGCTCCAAGGTCGCTCCCACCCAGATTCCTGTTCAGCCCCTACCCCACCCTGATGGCCAAGGCTGGTGCTGTAGGCACACCTGTGCCCAGGGACTTAATTATATGCTTGGGATTTTGTTCTTTCCAAGACCAGGTATTAATTTTTAAAATAGAAGGACAGCAAAGAGTTAGCAAGGAGACAGGAGAGGCGAAGAGAGGGAGAACGACAGAGACAGAGAGTCAGAAAAGGAGAACAACAACCTTTAAATTTTTTGCTGTTTTGAGCAAACAACAGTCCCCAGAGATTACAGGTAGAAGCAGAAGTCAGAAAACTAGGACTCAGGCTCAGAATAAATGTAGGCATAGCCTAAACATTTCCCAATTTGCAACTCACTCATTTGATGACACAAGTTATATAAGCCCATAAAACCACCTTTCTGTGGCAATACACATATAAAGGTCCCCACCCTTCACTCTCAATATTTCTATTACACTCAGTTACCTTCTTAGAGCAAGAGGACACATGGAAAGAATCATAGACTCAGGCTCTGTTTAACCTAGACAACTACATGCCAGACACTGCTTGAAGCCCATCACATGTATTCGTTAACTGATTTCATCCCTACAAAAACCTTTTGATGTGGGTGCTATGAAGAACCACCATTTTGCAGAGATGGAAATGGAAGTGCAAAGAGGTTAAGTAAATTGTTCAAAGTCACACAGCAAGCTGGTGGCAGATCCAGGATGCAAAGACTCCAGGGTTTGTGTTTGTAACCTCTACATCAATGTGGCTGAAAGAGAACTCAGCGAGCATCTCATCCAACCATCTCACTTCCTCAGAGGAACCAAAATCCCAGAGTTCGTGACTTACCCAAGGTCATACAGCTTGTGAGCAGCAGATGCCCTGGGCAAGTGCCCAGATAATTAAGCCGCAGCTGCTTCCACCCCTTCTGGAAAAAGTCAACAAGGGCAAAGTCCTTGCCTCCAACCCCATCTGCCTCCCCGTCCCCGGGGTTCACAGCCCTGGCTTCCTGCCGTTTGAGGTGCCCCTTCCCAGATGGCCCATCAGCCTGTCTAAGTCTCACCTCCCTGGGTGAAGGGGAGGGGGCTCTGCCCAGCAGTCCTGCTAAGAGTGACAGCACCGCCCACAACCCTGTCATCTCTGCCTCGCTCGTCCCTGTCAGCCGCCTCCCAGCTCCCAGCTGTCTGTCAGCAGCTGCTCAGGGATATAAATAACCAGCCGTTGGCAGAAGCGCCCTGGCAGAGAGGGGCGGGGGCACGGAGGAGGCAGAGGGGCTGCTGACAGGCAGTGAAGAAACTCGAGGGTCCTCCTTCCGGAGCAGACGTTCCAAGCGGATCCTCAGAGGAGCACGTTGAGACCTGGAGCGGGAAAGGGAGTGAGATTTAGCAGGAAGCAGCTGAGTAGAGGGATGGAGGCCGGTGGGCCAGCCCTAGCACTGTGTCCGAGGCCTTCCACCTATCGGGTGCCACAGACTTAGGCACTGTGTAACCTAGACAGCTACATGCCAGGCACTGCTCAAATCCCATCACATGTAATCCCATCACATTAACTCATTTCATCCCTACAAAAACCCTCGGATGTGGGTGCTGTGAAGAGCCATCGTTTTACAGAGATGGAAACGGAAGCACAGAGAGGTTAAGCAAATTGCCCAAGGTCACAGAGCAAGCTAGTGGCAGAGCCAGGACTCCAGTCCTCCCCTCCATCCCGATTCTTGAGGGAGTATATGGGGGACTGTCCTCCCTATAATGTTTGTGGGGTATAGGGATGTTTGTGGGGTATAGGGATGATAATTCTGTAGGGAGCAGGCGATCCTGGAGAGGAGAGGGTCCCCAAGGCCTGATGTAAGCACAGAGTGGGGGTGGATAGAAGGAAAAGGAGAGTTTGGGCAGAATTGGAAGGACAAGAGAATAATTTAAAATTCAGCTAACATTTATCAAGCCTGTAGCAGATGTTGAGTGCTTCCGCACACATCACCTCATTTCATCATCTCTATAATCCCAGGGTGGGCAGTATCGCTGTTTTACAGATAAGGACGCTGAGGAGTGATAAGGAGAATCAAGAAACAGCAGCGCTGGAAGAGACTTTCGAGATCATTAGGTTCTGTCCCCACATTCTGCTGAGAAGACACAAAGAAGTTAGTGACATGGCCAAAGACACACAGCCTGCGGTGCAGGGCTGGACACGGCTCCACTGCACTCTGCAGCCACCTTGGCCTGCTCCGCCTCTTGGTGTGTGGCTGACAGCTGCTGGATTGATCCGGCCAGTCACCTTAGGAAAGTCACTGAATGCCCCAGAGCGTAGGTAAAGTTAGGAGAGGGGCTAACGGGATCTATGTTATGGCTCAGCAAAGGCTGCCCTTCTAGCAGCTCTTGGAATAGAGTGACGGATCTCACACTGTGGTTTGCATCAGTAACACCTGGAAGGCTATGAAAACGGAGCATTGAGTCGCACCCCAGAGTTTCTGAATCAGTGGGTGTATTGTTTATCTTTTTAACTTTCTATATGTATTACGATGTGTTGATGTTTAAACATCTTTCTGGCTGGAGACAGACTGCCCCTCCCTGGGCTAGCCATATTCTTAGAGACAGTGATGGGCTCAGTGGGAGCAGGCCTTTTATATGCAAACGAACCCACCCAGAGCCAGATCTCAGTCTGGCCCTTTTACCCCGGGAAGCAATCTTCCTCTGCCCTACTCATCCCAGGGCCAGGTACCAGGCAACTGGAGACCACCCCTGTAGTTTAAAGCCTGTTGACATTATCCAAACTAGCCAATTCTAAAATGTTCACTCCGCCCTGCTTTGCCTTTCTTGTGGAAAACCCAGTGAAGAGTAGCTCTCTCCTCACTCCTGCCCATCCTGCCTCTAGGCCACTCTGACACTTTTCCACACAAAAGTGCACAGGACAGGAGGTCGGTGCTGGAGCCTGAGAATTGGGATTTCTATTAAATAACAAGTTCCCTTGTGATGCTAATACTGCTGGTCTGGGGACCCTACTGTGAGAACTATTGGAATAGAGGAGTCAAAGGTAGCCGGGAAGATGTAGACACATTTGCATAGGGCGCCCAGGGAGCCCCTTGAAAGGAAAAGGATCAGGACGCTGATCTCTTATTTGCTCTAATTCAGCAGGTCCTGATGGACTGAGATGGTAATGACCTCAGACATCACCGGTGAGAATAGACAAAAGGGGCCCCAGGGGAGAATTCATCCTGAGGGCAACTGCAGACAGGGCTAAGCAAAGTGTGGCCCCTGGACCAGCAGCATCAACATCCTGTGGGAGTTGTTAGAAATGCAGATTATTAGGCCCCATCCAAGACCTACCGAATCAGAATGTCTGAGAGTGTGGGCCCCAGATCTGTGCTTGAAGAAGCTCTCTGGGTGATTCTCACACACAGTGAAATTTAGGAAGCGCCAGTATAGCCCAATCAGCTGCCTTCACACTGGAGCCTGCATTACCTTGATGGCAAAGTGGCCGGTTCTGGCACAGAGTGTGGCACAGAGTGTGGCTAGTGTGGCAGTGGCTAGAAACTCTCCCAGACCCAGCTACTTAGCTGGTGACCTGTGGGGACAGTAGCAAAACAGGTGAGTAAAAGCTCATTTGCACTGTATCAGAAACCCCAGAAGTGGCATAGCCATGAGCAGGTCTGCGCAGGCGTCTGATTGGCAAAGGCATAAAGGCCGCCATGGGGAAGCCCCTCTGGATTGTGTGAGACCAATGCAGAGCCATCATTCAGGAGGCAGTGATAGAAGCAGGGACTGGGCCGGCTCTGCAGTGATCTTTTTACTGGCCCATCACACTACACAAGCCCTAGGGCTTTTCCATCCATTGTCAGGGGCAAGCGCTGGGGAGGAAGAGAGGGTACTAAGAGATACTAGACTTTCTGCTTAGTTGGAAATGTGCTTGCTTAAAGGACTGATTTAAGTATTCAAAGATCTGTGACCTTCTTTGTATCCTCAGCTGATGAAATACATCGCTCCATTTATATTTCTGTAAATTTCATATTTTATTTGTGCTTCTAACAGAGAGAGTTGGTTAGTGGGACTTGCAGCGGAGAATTCTGACTCATGGTAGCCCGAAGATGAAGGCTAAGGAAGGAGGTCATTTGAAGCATATTGCATGGCCCAGGATCTTTAGTCTGCCCTGAAGGACTGTGGATTCCAAACAGCAGAAGATGGTTCCACTAAAGACTGCTTCAAGGGAGGGTCTGGGAGAGGAGTGAATGGGAAGATGCCCCTAAACACCTGGAGGTGATTCAGCCTCACCCTCCCCCAACATCTGGCACCTACCTCCCCTTCCCAAGCACCTCACACCTCTGCTGAGGCGGTTCCCTTGGTCTGGAATGCCACTCTCCACTCTGCCCAGATGACGAACACCTGTGCCTCTTTCAGGACTTGGCTTGGGATCTTTTCTCGGAAGATTTTCCAGACCTGTCCTGAGATAGTGTTTCCATTTCTCCCCATGCTCCCACTGGACCCTCTATGTATTTCCATCATAGCACATATACCTTCTGCTCCAGGATTGCAAATTCCCCAAGGCAAAGATGGCCTTGTCTTTCTTTTTAGACTCAGTACCTGGAATGGCAAATGAGATAGATACTACCCAGGTAGAGCTTATGATCAGGTGGGATTTTTATAAAGATATCTGAATAAGGAATTAAGCCTTCAGTGAGGAGCTTTAAATGCATGATATTTTACCAATTACACTACCAGGACTTTAGCACCTAATCTGCTTTAGAGTCACTCCTGCCTAGGGGAGCTCCCAATCTAATGAGGTAAACCCCATTCCCGCCCCTAGAGAGTTCCAGTCTGAGAGAGGTTGACACAGCCCTTGCCCTCAGCAAATTCCCAGAGTGATGCGTAAACATGAAGTATTAGTCATGACACTGTTTCCTGCCAGGTATTAGTTTCTTTTCATGCAGTGAGAAATGTGGCCCCTGAAATTCCAAGCCTAAATTGTCCTGCAGCTCACAGGCCAGAGACAGAGCTTTTTTTTTTTTTTTGAGATGGAGTCTTGCTGTGTCACCCAGGCTGGAGTGCAGTGGCACAATCTCGGCTCACTGCAAGCTCCGCCTCCCGGGTTCACGTCATTCTCGTGCCTCAGCCTCCCGAGTAGCTGGGACTACAGGCGCCCGCCACCACGCCTGGCTAATTTTTTGTATTTTTTAGTATAGACGGGGTTTCACCATGTTAGCCAGGATGGTCTCGATCTCCTGACCCCGTGATCCACCCATATCGGCCTCCCAAAGTACTGGGATTACAGGTGTGAGCCACCACGCCTGGCCAGAGAAAGAGCTTATATCCTAGCATCAAATCTCAGAGAAGGCACTGTCTGGCTTTGCGTGGGCCGGGTACCCATCCCTGTGAGCAGGTGGGGCTGAGTGGAAGAAAGGAGGCCAGGCTGGCTGGCCCTGCCAATCTGCACAGAATGGGTTTGCCATGGGACAGAGGTCTGGTACTGGGGAGGGGATTTGGAGGGGAGCACAGCAAGTTGTGCTTGACTGACAAAACTACTGCCCTGGGCTGCTGAGGAGGCTGGACACATAAACGCAGCGCAGAATGTAGACGGGGGCACGTACCACAGAAGCAAGCGCAGATCGATATTCCAGAGTGCACTTAAAAGCTGAGAGGAGTCCTGGTGTTTGAGGTCAGGTGGAGTTAAACAGGCAAAGCTCACAGTGCGAGAAGAATCTTGACCAGGAATTGCAAGAAAGAGTGCAACAAGTTTTGAGGTAGAAGAGGCTTGCCCTTGCAGATGCCTGGGGACAAGGATGGGGTTTGCTGAAGGAATACCCTGAGGAAGAAGAGTGCAATTTCTCAGAGGATGCTGGAAACCCCAGGCCCCACCCGTCCCACACACCTAGCCCAAGGCCCTTACCCCTCTGCTCCCAGTTACAGCATAGGATGCTTGCCCACCCACAGTGGTGGGGACCAGCTCTTGGGAACCTGCAGTCTTAGAAGAAAAACCTGCATAGCTTTACTCCTTCCAGAGGGAGAAACAGGGATGGGGGAGGGGGGGTTAAGTCCTATGGAAATTAGCAATAGTGCAGCGGGGACAGGAAGGAATTGAGAATTGAACGGGGGAGAGGGAGAGAGAGAGAGAGACACTAGAGCCATACCCCCCGGAACACACCTGACTTCCTTTGATCTGGGAAGCTAAGCAGGCCTGGGCCTGGTTAGTGCTTGAATGGGGGAGAGAGACAGAGGTTTTAGCCTGTGAAAGGAGCAGAGTATGGAATGGAGAAGAAAACAGGGGCAGCCCTCACTGTTGTCATGGCAACACAGACACATCCAACTGTGCCCATAAACTCCACTGTGTGTGAGTCTTTTCCTAAGCCAAAGCCCCAGGACAGAAAGGAACAAAGAGAGCCCCAGGTGGGGGGCTCACCCCCAGAGACCCTGCACCTTTCCTGGCTGGGCACTGCCAGGGGCAGGAGTAGGGGATTCCTTTCAGAGGTCGCCTCTCCCTTGGAGCAGACGGAGGAACGCTTCCCATGCCAAGTCTTTTGCTACAGAAAGGAATATAATGGTAGACACGTGGTTTGTGCATGAGGCATGGTTGGGGCCCTGGGGTCGGGGGAGAGATCTCCCATCAGGTGGGCACAGAGGGTGGCACAGCCCTGCTCACACATCCCCATGAAGCCCAGGAGCTCGCCACCAGGACCGTGCCACCAGGCGAGGCACAGCCTTGCTTCCTTCTCCCCAGGTTGGGGTGTGCTGGGCTCCAGATGGATTTTAGGAAGGCAGATTCCTCAGTTAGCTGGAGGAGGAGTCTCTGCCAAGCACCCGCAAAGCTGAGCTTCCCCCACCCTCCTCTTCTTATCTCTCTCCCTTTTCATTTTCTTGCCCCCACTTCCTCTGCTTATCTTCTTTCCGCTCTCGTTTTCTTTTCTACTCGCCTCGCCTCTTTCCCCGCTCACCCTGTCCTCCTTCCTCTTCCTCTTCCCCTCTCCGCTGTCTGTCTGTCTCTAGTTCCCTTGGTCTCTCTCCTCTATCCCCACCTGCCTTCTCTCTATTTAAATGGATACTGAAGCCAGAGGAGTAGGTGGAAAAATACTGCACTGGGGACAGCAGGGAGGAATGTTTTGGCGTTAGGCCTTTTCCTTCCTGCCACAGTAGAACCAGAGCAGAGATCCTGAGAGCCATTACCACTCACCCACGCACCCCCTGCACTCACAGCCAACACCCCAGCCAACACCGCCTCTGTCAGGTAGCAGGAGGCAAGAAGTCAGGGAAGGAGACAACAGTCACACCCCAGCCCCCTCTTGTGTACCCTGCAGCCAATTTTGATTCCAAACCCAAGAGGAAAGTGGAACTTTCCTAAGTTTGCTTCATCTTGGGGTGAAGCCTCATGGAAACTCTAGGTATTCTGCCATTTGTAATTTGTCCAAAGCCAAAGTTGACTCATCACCCCCCTGCTCCACAACTGAATTGTGTACTGATCACCATGGTGGGAGGAGGGCTGGGTCCCTGCTCCTGGGGAGTCGCAGAGTGGCTGGAACACCTGCCCCAGGCCTGTGTGCTTGATGGCCCCAGAGCTGGGGCTGGGAGGACAGAGGTGGGTCTGAACATCTGGAGCTGAACAGGTTTGTTTAGAAGAATTTTCAGAACTGAAACCAAAGCTCAGAAATGAGGACAATCTTTTAACTCCTATTCTGCTAATATGGAGCTACTTCTTATGTTGTAAACCCACCCGGTGAGATGGAGCCTATTCCTAGAGGTCCATAAACACATTTCCTGAAGCTCAGGACCCTCCCTTGGGGGAGCAGTTACCCACCAAGGAGCCACTCTACTGCGGACAGCTATAGTAGGAATAAGCTATAGCCAAAGGGAGCCCCAGGATGTCAGCCTAGTGCCCCAAAGGGAACTCTTGACCCAAGAAACTCCTTCAAATGCATGCAGATTGACATTCAGTCACCTGAACGTCTCCTGGGTCCGGGTGCAGGCTGAGGGTGGTAAGGAATGGGGCTGTAGCCCCAGGAGCCTTCACTCATGCTCCAGGACACCACACTGTAGAAAAATACGGGTCCCTGGGTGCCGTAGGCAGCAGGGGGTGGGTGGTGATCAGCCATCAATCATCCGCTGTTGGGGATGTGTGTGTGTACTGTATGTACGTACTTACCCTCACTGGCTTGCATGTGATTGGGGGAGTCTTTGTTTATCTATGTGTGCATGTTTGTGGGTGTTTTTATCAGTGTGAAAAGGTGTAGTTATGCGTATATTTTACATATCTCTGTTTGGGGCAATCTATGTAGGTACAGATGGATCTGGACAACTCGTGTGTGTGTGTGTGTGTGTGTAAAATGAAACATACACACACTACACAGAGAAAAAGCACTAGAGAAGAATGGGCAGGCCAGCACAAGTGGTGAAAGAAAGTACAGCCTATTTAAGGCCTTATAGAGTTCTTAGCTTCCTTCTAGTGTTTGCCATAGTCCATCTCTGCTAATCTTAATGGTTGTTATAGAATCTTAGTCACTCTAGAACACTTTGACTTTTCAGAGCTGTTTCTTATCTATTTGATCCTCATAACAATTTCACAGGGATCCCTTTCCTAACTTCCAAGATAAAAGTTCTGAACTCAGAGAGGTTAAGTGACTTGCCTAAAGTCACACAGCTCCTTAGATTGGACAAAATGCTACCTAGATAGTTCCAGTAGGTGAGAAATGTCATCTATATCAAAGAGAAATGGTACATTGCTTTGCAGCTCATTCATCTAATATGCAACAGGTCTAACATTGGTCTAATACAGCCTGGAACTTGCCCCCCTAAGACCTCCTAAGTCTCGACTAGGGTCATATGTGAGTGCAGCTGCCCTGCAGGATGAGGGAATAAGTAAAAAATTAAAATGCCTGGAAAAAACCAGCCCCCACTAGACTTGTGTCCTAGCCCTCAATGTCAATTTATTTGCATGCATGCACACACACACACACGGCCTGGGTGCCCTCTCCCTGTGCACTCCGGGTGTCCTCTCCCTGCCTATTGGCATCCTTGTGACCAGGCCTGCTCCCAGAGCAGAATCCCAGATCTATAAGAGGGAGCAGTTTCAGTTCCTGCTCTCCAAGCTGTCCTCATGTGGGCAGGATGCACATGCAAAATGACTTAACACCGTCAAAGAAAACACACAAACAAACGCAGAGTAATAACCCAGCTGTAGAAGCTTTATACAGCCGTGCCAGGGGGCGGACGGATGAGTGGAGAAACAGAACCGGGGGTGCTGAGTCAAAGCAGCTGTGTTCTGTGTTCAGGAACTGAACTCTAAGGGCAAGCTCTAGCTGGTACCTATGCCTCAAGGCCTCTTGCATAGTCTGGCATGGAGCACTATCGAATGGATGCCTTAGACCCCATGGGCTCTGACCCAGGGTCCGAGGCACCTGCGGGGCCTGGAGCAGAAAGGTGAAGTGACAGGAGACCAGACAGACTGTCTCTGCCAAGGGGTAGAACAAGTGCCTCCATATAGGCCTCAGGCCAGCCTCCTCCTGTGGCCACCGATGCAGTCGATGGCTGCCAGAAGATCTGGCCTGCCCTGGCAGCTCCTCAAAGCTGCACCAGGACTCCATCCTCAGTTCTGCAGGGCTCCTTCTCCATTAGATTAACTGGCCTCCTGAACAAGCTGGGAGAGAAGAGGCCACGGTACACAGAGGGAAACTGAGCCCGGGGCAGAAAGGAACTGGGCATTGGGTCACGCTGGACTCTGGAGAGCCAGACCTGCCGGCCTTCTTCTTCTGGCACTTCCTCCGCCCCACTGGCCTCATTTGAGGTCTTCTGGAAGTTGATTTAAACCAAGCTTTTAAAAAAAATCTCTATCTGGTATCCCTTGGTTTACTTTCCCTAGGCTCCAGTTCCCTGCTTGTAATTTGGATCGCCCTGAAAAGATATAAACATCTCTCTGTTTGAAGAGCCTCTGAGGAGCCAACAGCGGCTCTCCGGTCCTTCTGTGATCAGAGAAAGCACTTGGGAGTAGGGAGACACGGGCCCTCCTACCCCTGCCCCTGTCTGTGTCCGAGCCTCAGGACTGAGACCTGGGGGTGCTGGAGAGGATGAGGCCCTGATGGGTCTGAAGAGTGTGCAGGGAGCTGGAGGGCGGGGAGCACTTCTGCTCCCTGCACCATGGCTGGTGCTGCAGTTTACAGCCAGGCACCTAATTTATCAGCTGTTTTTACTGCTGTTGTCAAACAGCCACAAACCAAAGAAATAAAGTAGCCAGAGGAACAATGTCTCCCCTCCACCTTGGCCCTCCCAGCCTGTCTGCTGTGTCAGGTCCTCTGTCTCCAAGGCTGGAGAGCCGAGGTCCTCTGGTGACAGATCTTCCAAAGTGATTCCCTTGGGGCCCTGAGAGGGTGGGAGACATATTTAAGGAAGCTAGTGGGGAAACCAAAGCCAATTGCATGGGACAGCCAGTTGGGAAGCTCCCAGGATCCCTCCAGAGAAAGGGGCACAGGTCCAAACCTTGCTGCCTTCTAGCCAGGCATACCTGGAAACTGCTCTTGAGTCCATGCGGCTACCTCACCAGCTTCTCCCTGGTGCCAAGGGGAGAAGGGCCAATGATGATGTCTGGCAGAAGGAAGGTAGCGATGGTCACTCTGGGGCTCTATCCCATTCAGGGGACAGCCCAGCCCTCCCCCTGCTCACCCACAGCCCCCATGGTCCCCACCACACTGTCAGTACCTGATGGCCAGATCAGCACTTGATGGCACGGTGCTGTTCCCTTGTGGGGAATGGTGTATGAGTCATGTCTTCTACACCATGACACCTCAGGGCACTTTGGTCTCCCCTTTCTCATCACTCGTGGGCCAGTCCACAGTAAGCCAGTGATCAATAAATACACAGGGAGTGAACTGAGCGATTCTGGAAAGAAAAGGTAGGCAAGAGCATTGCCCCTGAAGAAGGTAGCAGGCAGGCATGAGGGTGCTGAGTGTGGAGTGTGAGGGAACCACCCAGGGAAGAGCTAGGAATGACCCCAGGGACTCCCGCTGACACGGCCATGGACTCTTGAGGAGAAGTTGGCCATTTCCAACAGTCACTCTTCTATATTCCACTTCCATGGTGGGCCTTGAACATAGATGTGTTTGGTCAGGTGCTGAGAGCTCCAAAAGTTCTCTGCAGCGACAAATGTCAAGCACAGCCTCCCATTAATCATGATGGAGGAACACGGAGCAGAGTGGTGGCCTCTCCCAGGGCCTCCAGGAATGCATCATGGAGGAGGCAACACTTTGAGTAGAGTATAGAAGACTGAGTTTCCTGGCTACAGAACAGGAGACAGCTATTTCAAATCATGAAAAGCAAGGTGGGTCATGGCCACTCAGTTGCTGAATCCTATTTGCCCACCACAGATAACCAGCTCCTGCCACAGCTCAAGGTCAAGACAACTCTCTCTCTACAGCCACCCAAACCACAAGCTCACCTAGAGCCATTCAGAAATCCCTCTCCTTAGCACTGCCAGCCTAAGTAACTCTCCTCTCTGCCTTCTTTATCCCAGACACAGATGGATGACAGAATCCCCTCTTCTTTTTCCTCTTGTCCCAGCCTGGGCATCCCTCTGCCAATGGCAACTGTACTTGGTGTCACCCATCTCCCTTCGTTACAACCCTTCATGCTTAACCAGAGAAATGGTGAAGAGTGCAGCTCACTTATCTAATATACACCAGGTCTAACATTGGTCTAATACAGCCAGGAACTTGCCTCTCTAAGACCTCCTAAGCTTGGACCAGGGTGAGATGTGAGTGCAACTGCCCTGCGGGATAAGGGAATAACTAAAAATCTAAAGTGCCTGGAAAAAACCAGTCCTTGCTAGACTTGTGTCCTACACCTCAATGTCAATTTGTTTGCATGCAATAAGTCCCCCACCTCTCTTCTATCCATCCACCACAGCCTCTGTTAGTCAAATATCCATTCAACAACCACATATGGGTCCACTCCGTGTAAGGAGAATGATAGATGCTAGGCAAGTAACCTTGACTGATATTTAGTCTCTGCCCTTGAGGAGTTCACAGTTGAGTAGAAAATCATGACACAATGGTCAAGAGTGCTATCAAAAACCACCTATCTGAACCATCTCATTACAAGAACATTGGGAAAGACTAAATGACTTGCAACATCAGAGAACAACACTGCAGAGAAGGAGCTGGACCATTGTACTCTTCCCAGAATCATATTGTAACATGCATGGATTTGTTATCCATGCATATTGTAACATCCATGGACCTGGCCTTGACTCCTGGCACTGCCATTTGCTAGCTGTGTGACGTTTAGAATGTTACCCAACATGTCTGAGTCTTAGTTTCTTCCTATATAAAACAAGGCGAGCAATGCCTTGCTTACAGGATTAGAATAAGGATCAGGGTGGCCGGGCGTGGTGGCTCATGCCTGTAATCCCAGCACTTTGGGAGACCGAGGCGGGGGATTACCTGAGTTCAGGAGTTCAAAACCATCCTGGCCTATATGGTGAAACCCAGTCTCTACTAAAAATACAAAAATTAGCCGGGTGTGGTGGTGCATGCCTGTAGTCCCAGCTACTTGGGAGGCTGAGGCAGGAGAATTTCTTGAACCCAGAAGGCGGAGATTGCAGTGAGCTGAGATCGTGCCACTACACTCTAGCCTGGGTGACAGAGTGAAACTCCATCTTGGAAAAAAAAAAGAAGAAGAAGAAGGATCAGGGTAAGATGCTGGAAAGTGCCGCACAACATAATGAATTCAGTAGGTAGCTTACAGGAGCGGTTGTGGCAGAAGGAAGGGTAATGATAATAGCAAACACGACTGTGTGTCAGAGGCTCCACATGTACTTTCTCACATCACGCCTCTGAAGCAGGCACTTTTCATTTTTAGGACAGTTGAAGAAAATGAATCAGAGAATGCAAGGAACTTGCCTAAGGTTACCCAGCTAAGAGGTGGGGAGAGGCACCACCGTGGGTCCCAACTGCGGTCCTGTCTGTGGCTCTGCTGGCCTGCTCTGACTCTCAACCTATAAACATGTATGGAGTCCCTGAGGTTTACAAGCACTCTGGGGCTATGTAGCAGATCACTGTAAAATCCTGGCCCTCAAGGTTCACAGGGAGTTGAAGTAGTCAGGGAAGGCTTCAGAGAGGAAGCAGGGACTCCACATGGGCCTTGAAGAACGTAAATATTATAGAAAAATGGGGAGATACAGATAGACATTCTCACAGATAGAAACGGCATGAGCCAAGGACCAGAGGCAGGATTAGTGCCGGTATAAAGAGGTATGTTTTCTCTTTTTTATTGTTGTTGTTTTGTAGAAATGGAGTCTCGCTATGTTGCCCAGGCTGGTCTCAACTCCTGGCCTCAATTGATCCTCCTGCCTCAGCCTCCCAAAGTGCTGGGATTGCAGCCATGAGCAACTATGACCAGCCAGGAGAGGGTTTTTTGGTTTTTGATTTTGAGACGTTTCACTCTGTTGCCCAGGCTGGAGTGCAGTGGTATGATGTTGGCTCAATACAACCTTCACCTCCCGGGCTCAATCGATCCTCAACCTCAGCCTCCCAAGTAGCTGGGACCACAAGTGTGCACCACCATGCCTGGCTGATTTTTGTATTTTGTGTAGAGATGGGGTTTCACCACATTGCCCAGGCTAGTCTCCGCCTGCCTTAACCTCCCAAAGTGCTGGGATTACAGGTGTGAGCCACCATGCCCAGCCAGGAGAGGGGTTCTTGAGTACCACATTTACATATCATCTTTTCATTCACTCATTCATCTCTTTACCCATTCAACACATATCTCTTGAGCACCTACTATTTGTCAGGCATTGTTCTAAACCTTGGGAATAGATAAACAAGGATGCAG